>NC_000007.14:113415869-113718900 GCF_000001405.40 Homo sapiens
ATTCTAATGAGAAAAGTAGACACGTTTATGGTCCGGTTTTGCATTTGCTCCCACTGACCTTCTGATAATGAACAAATGGAAGCAATATGTCAGGAGGCAAAAGCAGAAGACATAGATCTCAAACTTAGGTGTGTTTGATTTGCCAGCAGAAAATGACTAACCACATGATGTAGAAATATATAAAATACATCCACACCTGGGTCAAAGACAGATACACCAAAAGTATCTAAACATCTGAGATCTTCAACTTTGGAGGATGCAGAAGTTACGAGATGGCTTAGGAGGTTGCTGAAGAAGTTCAGAGATGACTAAAGGAAAACAAACAATCAAAAGAAGATGAGTTTCAAATGAAGAAGAAAGAGCAGGGCAACAGCTTAGCTTCTGCTATAGCCATAGCTCCTTGCTCTAGGGGTTTCCTTCTCTATTGTTGGGTAATATTAAGGAAAATTACTTGTGTGTAGAGACAGCACGCAAAGGACAAAACTTTGTATTGAAGAAGCTGTCATATCTTGAGGTTTAAATGTATCTTAATTATGTTTAAAAGGAATTTAATGATGCTGACATCTCATAGGACTTGCTTTTAAATTAGCCCTCTCTGTACACACATAAACACACACACATGTGTACACCAAACCTTTTAGACAGTTTAAAATGGGCAGTAAATTATTTGGGGTGGGGTTCAGAGTGGGAGGAAAATGGTCTTAATTAAATGACAAGGGGAACTATGAATACTACTACAATAAAGGTTGCAAAGGTAATTTTGACTATTTGTGAGACTTGGCACGTACCAAGTCATTCTCCCTTGCCCATCGTTGCTTGCCTTTGGGGAGCTGGAGCCCAGAACTGTGGGGGTTGTAATCACCTCTGCTGACTAGTCCACCACATTGCTCATGGACTTCAGAGCTTTCTTTCCCTTGTCTTCAGTGCTGTTCAACCCATCAATTTCATGAGATTGATGAACAGACTCAGAAGCCCCCAAAAAATTCCACTCTGGCAACATGAGATGTGCTAACCATGAATGAAAGGCATATAGTGACTGATTTACCCAGCACAATGAAATCAGTCAATGCTTTGTTCTCTTAAAGAGGATCAAACTAATTACTGTGTGTTCACTTAGTAAAATTGAATAGTGATTCAGAAATGTGTAATGCATATTGAGTGTATTTAATATATTTTACCTCATGTTTTCTTATTGTCACAAGATTAAATGTTGAAAAACAGCCGTCAGGAAATGTTTTTCTGTGTAAAATAAACAACATCTATCATGGGAGGGACATTTTTAGTAGTAACATTATTTTTTTAATGGAGAGACTCAGCAAGAAGCTCATTCTAATAAAAATGCACACACTGCTTTTCCATGACTTCTCACCACCACTCATGCTTTCAACACACCTGCCCCCAAGTCTGTCCCTGACTTCTTGGTTTGGCCTTAGTTTGGAATCATCAAGAGCATATCATCAGGCTGCAGAATGGTTAGGAGAGAGGGCAACGAGCTTTGGGAGGGGGAAGGAAGTGGAATATGAAAAGGATTCTACAGATAATCCAGCAAGTAGTAACTGAGAGTTTGACTTTGAAATTTTTATGCCATAAAAGTCCAATCCAATCATATTTAATTATGTAGCATTTTAAGATGAAAAAAAATGTTTAAAGAAGCTCCAAAATTGAATTCTTTTGCCATTTTGTCACATTGGCTAACTGGAGGTTATTATTACTGTTGTTGTAGTTCTCATTATTTTTCACCAGAAAGTTGATTTAAAAATAGGCATCATCTGTGATAAAGAGATATGGTTAATAATTTAATTATATTTTCATTGGTTGGTGTCAACTGACGGTATGAAAATAACACAAAGGAAAATCTTTTTAAAAGGCAAAATCAATAGCCTTTATATATTTTAATAATAAAAATAAGTAAATAAGTATTTTTATTTTTATTTACATAAATAAAAAGTACAGTGTGGAAAATTCATTTTCAATGCCATTAAAAATAAACTACAAAGAAAATACTTAATGAACAATCTGTGAAACTCTTATGAGGAATACTATAACACTCCACTTAGTTTTTAATAAATAGGGATGCTTATCATATTAGGAAGAATTAATACATTTAAGTTATCAACCATTTCAAAATCAATTATAGTTTTTATGAAAATCCCAATGAATAATTTTACAAGTTGGCAAAGTGTTTCTAACAGTGCTCTGAAAGAATTAAAAGCTATTATAATTAAGAAATTTTGTAAATCAGAATAATCTAGAGAGATTATTTCTATCAAATATTAAAATATATCATATAACTATTTTTAGAAGTTCTACTGGCATAGAAAACAATGAAATACATTAAACAGCCCCCAAAGATAACTTATTATGTAATTTAATAAATGATATGGAGGTATTATAAACGACTGTGAAGCAAAAATGTGTATCATAAATGGATTTCATAAAACTAGTTAGCTATGCTGAAGTAACACTGTTTAGGTTCTTTTAATACACTATACACTAAAATAAATTACAGTGAAACTAGAGAGCTAAATATTTATCCTTTCTTTCATTCAACATATATTTATTGAACAACTATTATGTGCCAGACTCTAGTCTTGATGCCTGGGATAAAGGATTAAATAAAGTAGAACTCTTTATCTCTCAAGATCAGTGGAGGAAAGAAAATAAACAAACAAGTAGATATAGAAATAATACCATGAGTCAGAAGAATCAAGAGGAAAATTAAAGTAGGGGAAGATGATAGAAGTTAAGGAGGATTCTGTGTTTGATGTGGGGATAGGGAGGAGTGAGAGTAAGGGAAAAGAACATTTGACCAGAGACCTTAATGAAGCCAGGGAGCAAGCCAGAAAGACATCTGGGAGAAGATCATTCTTGGTAGAGGGAATAGTAAGGGAAAAGACTTGGAATTAGGAACATGCTGGTTATGTTTGGGAGAAACAGAAACACCAGTGTGGCTAGAGCAAAGAGAGAGAGGAAGAATAAATTGGAAATGAAATTGGTAATTTGGCCAGGGACCAGCTCATGTAAAGCTTTGTATGGGATTTTAATGTTATTATAAGTATGATAAAAAGCTATTGGAGAAGGAGAGTACCTAATTCATTGGAAAAATATTACTCTGGCTTTCAAATGGACAATAAACAATGAAGGGGAGGCATGGTGATGGCGTAAAGGAGGGAGATCATTTAGGCTAGCAAAATTCCTAGAGACAGAAACTGATGGTTTTGATCATGTTGAGAGTGGTAAAGATTGTGCTAAATGGTCAGATTCTGAATTGTGCGAGTAGGCCAGTTGAATTTACTGATGGATTGGATGTGTACTGTGAGAGAAAGGGACATCAAGGAAAGGAGCAAAGTTTGCATCCTGAGAAATGTTGGTGCTATTTGCCAAGATATGGAATACTGGAGGAAGAGCAAGTTGGGGAATAGTTTGGGATGGTTGGGGAGGTATCAGTGGTTCTCGTTTGGGCATCTCAACTTTGTTATTCCTACTAGGACATCTAAGGGAGACAATCTATATATAAGCTGTTTTTATAAGATTCTAGAGATTAGAGGAGAGGTTGGGACTTGAGATAAAAACTACTGAACTCACCAACTTATAAATGATATTTGCAATTCATTACCTGGGGGTGAGTGTAAATAGAGAGGAGTCCAAAATATTGAGCCTCAGGGGGCTCCACAATTAATATGAGAAAGTGAATCCAGCAGAAAATCAGGAAGGAGGAGACAGCAACATACAAAGAAAACTAGGAGTCCCAGAAGCTAAATAAGGATTTTTTTTTTTTAATGAAGACTGGCCCATTCTTAAGTAAATGAACTCAGAGAACTGGATTTGATAATATGGAGATGATGGGTGGCCTTAACCAGAGTAGACTGAAAGCAGTAGTGTGAGTGGATTCAAAAGAGAATGGGAGGGAGATGAAAATGTGGAAAATGAACAAAGACAATTATTTTGAGTGGTTGTGTAATTAGAAGCAATAAAGTGGAATTGTGGAGAGAGTTTTAATCTTTCTTTTTTAAAGAAAGGAGTTATTACAGTAGTTATTTTGTGAGGATGGGAATGATAGAATAGAGAAGGAAAAATTAATGATACAAATGAGAGAAGAGATAATTGCAGGGGCAAAGTCTTTGAATATACTGAGGGTGTAAGGGATGCAGGGCAAAAGTCGAACTATCTTAAATCTATGACAAAGGGGTATAGTTGTATAGCAAAGTTAAAATAAGGTAAAAATAGAAAAAATGTAGATAACATATATTAATATATCTAAAAAAAGTTTACCCCTTTTTAATAAGTACATTAATGAGGAAAAAACACATTTCAGTTAAATGATGGATAACTGGATAAATTATGATACATTCACAGTAATATTTGATAGTTTGAAGAATGGGTGCAAATATGTAATAACGAATTTAAAATTTTTAATTTCTTTACTTTTTCTTTATTTCACAGTGGGTATTCACAGGTGGGATTATAGCATATTACATCCCTTAACTCCTGAGCTCAAGCCATCTTCCTGCCTCAGCCTCTTGTGTAGCTGGGACTGCAGGCACACCCCACCACACTAGGCTAAAAAATTTGTTAATGTTTATTAATCATCCTAAGTTGAAAATATCTAGACTTCTGGGACACCATTAGGAATAATGTACTAAAGCCTGGAATACGTAACAGTGGCTTTGAGGATGTTGACCTCTTACCGTTAGTTTTGTCTATTCCTGAAAAATAATTCAAAGGCGATTCTTTAAAATTAAATGGGGTTGGCTAATATTGATTATTAATGGGAGAAAGAGGAGGGAAAGGTGGGTAGAATGGGTTTCTTTGTAGTCTGACTTATTAGAGGGGAAACTCTTGGAACCAGTGAATGATTTGCATGCACAGTTTCTCGTGATCTAGGCAAAGAAGGAAAGGACAGCTAGCATGTCAATTCTATGACGCTGCAATTTGGAAAAAGAAAGGATGATATGCTAAGATTTAACTAATATATTGTAAATTCAGATCTTTCAGCCAAATGTTTTCTCAGTAATAAAAGTGTCAATTAGGTATGTTTTTTTTTTTACACAGATTGAATTTTTGACCACTTTATTTTATTTGCTCTCTTTATTCCAGTGTAAAATTCCAGAAATGAGGGTATATTCCAGGTGGGTGAACTGCACAGTACTTATTGTATAGTTCTCCTTGTTTAATAAAAAGTAAACTTTTTAAAAGGTACTGAAAGTTTTTTGTATATCAAGAAAATTAGCCGGGCATGGTGGCTTACGCATGTAATCCTAGCACTTTGGGAGGCCCAGTTGGACGGATCACTTGAGGTCAGGATTTCAAGACCAGCCTGGTCAACATGGTGAAACCCCATCTCTTTTAAAAATACAAATTTTAGCCAGGCATGGTGGCACATGCCTGTGATCCCAGCTACTCGGGAGGCTGAAGCAGGAGAATCATTGAACCTGGGAAGCGGAGGCTGCAGTGAGCTGAGATCATGCCACTGCACTCCAGCCTGGGCGCGACAGAGTAAGACTCTGTCAAATAAAGAAAAAGAAAAAGAAAATTAGCCCCTTGTTTTGCCAATATTTGCTCTCACTTTCTAAGTTTGTCTTTTGACAATTTATAATTTTTTTGCTTTGCAGAGTTTCTAAGGTATCATTTTCTCAGGCTATATTCAGGTATATAAAAAATTAAAAATAACATTTTCCTTCATTTCTGAGTACTTCAATTTTGTTCATATTCTTGGCATTCCTCCAGCCCTTCCTCTGTTTCACGTGATAACAGGTGAACTGCATTCACTCCAGTGTAATTCCATCCATTTCAAGTTTAAACAAGGTCAACTCAGGATTTCCTCTACTCCTCTACCTCTATTTCTCCCTGGGGATACTGTAAATTCTGGGTGTTCTCTGAGGGTCATGGTGTTGGGGGAATATGATTGGTCCCTCAGCTGGGTTCTGCTCCTGTTTGCATCTGCTGAGCTGGCCATTACACCCACCGATGATTGGCCTCACTAAAATGGCTGTGTTCCCCAACCCCGTGGCAGCCACCTGCTGGTTTCCTATTGTTACAACCATCTGCTGCCATCTGCTGGTGTATGCTCTTGTTACAACCAATGAGATCTCTTCAGGTCCCATAGGTCTCTCTCAGAACTTACAGCTGTGTACTTTTCAGGGTAATTTCATCTTCTCCTCCGTTGCTCTCTGGAGCTACAGGAAATTGGTGGGATTGCCTCAGCTCTCCTACTTCATCTTCACTGGTCCCATGATGCTGTGATGCCAGTCGCAACTCCTGTGAAGGACCTTCCCTCCTGGTGTTCCAGACAAGGATGGGGTACAAGTCTCCTGTCACTCTTAGATCCCCAAACCTCCTTCTCCTACCTTTGAGAAAATTTTTATTTCCTTTTAGATAGACTAAAACTGGCTCAGAGTTATCTCCCATAATTTTTTGGTATTTAAATTGGGCCACAGAAAGGCCAAGAACCTGACATAATTATCTTTGACTAACATGAGGTGTCTCTTCACTTTGTATCAATGAAGACTAGGTTCAGTTCTCATGCTTAAGTTAATACTGTAGAGAAGTCAAAGGGAACATAGGAAATAATCTGCCTGCTCATAATTGATATCATTATCATTCTGTACCCATGTTTACATAGTGGGATTTATCTGGCCTCCTGCTGCTGCTTCTGGTTTATGCCACAGTTATTTATTCTGAGGCCTTTTTTACCTAAAGATTTTGCAGAATTTCAACATATTTTCTTCTAGTACTTTTATAGACTCAATATTTTAAACATTTAAATCTTTGACTAGCATGGTATTTATGTTGCAGTGAGATGGGAATGCAGCTTATTAATTTCTCAAAATGACACAGCTACATAGCAGTTTGGATTTCTTGGAGGAAGATTAAGCCTGAAGAACTACTCAGAGATGCCGAAAATATTCATTAATTTTATGACTGGACCTATGAACCTGTCTTTAGAGACAGAGAATTTGCTCTCGACTTTGACTGCCTATCAGAACACCTGGGAGCTTTAAAAAAAATATTGATAACTGGTTCTCAACTCCTCCTGTAATTGCTCTGGGGCATGTCATGATTACAAAAATCTTCCTGGATGATTCCAGTACACAATCAAGGTTGAAAACTTGCCCATGCACAGTCAAGATTGTTTTTAGGGCAAAAGAGAGCGTGAGTGAGACCCATGTGATACCTATTTTCCCATGGAGTAATGTGGAGTGTGCATCCCAACACCCACAGGTCTTGTTGAAACCCAGCTTGCTGGACCCCTCTCTCAGGGTTACTGATTCCCTAGGTCTGATGTCATGCCTAAGAAATTTATTTATTTGATCCTTTTATTTGGACAGAAATTATCAGCAGTCACATTTATACTGGTACCTATCATTTCCCCATTGGAATTTTAAAAGATTGTAAATGAAAACAATTCTATATGCAGAACTTATTTATGTATACTCATTCTTGTTTAAGAGATGATTTAAGGGGAAATAAAATAAAATATAAAAAGGAAAGGTGAGAAAATTTGAACATATGTAAAATAATACTTGAAAAGATAAAATCAAAAGGATAATATACATATATACATAAGCTGATGTTGGACCATACATTTGGCTAAGTTTTCTAGCAGTGAACATTAAGCAGAGAAAGAAAATCACTGTAAGATTTATAATGTGCCCTTGATAAAACTAAGCCAGTAGCTTCAGATAAAAATGCTTACTTTGTCCTGGCATTAGAGGAAAATCTTCTCTGTGTTCTTATAAATATGATTCTATACAACATTGGGAATAAAATCTTCCCTTATCTTTATCATTACAATGATCCTAGAAATTCTACTGATTAAAGTTGACAAAATTGACAAATGTCAATGAGTGACATTAATATAATAGGTCATTTGGTCACTAGGTAATTTCAAGTTTTCACTTGTAAATGAGGGTGTATTTACATAGGTAGTTCCTTAGTCCTCAGTGTGAAACATTGCTGTTCACACCAAAATACAGTAGAAGGAATTATACAAAGTGCAAATATAATACTGTTCACTCGTGATATCCTCAATACGCTTAGCCTGAGTCAAATAATCTAGTAACTTTAACTTATTCCGGGTCTTGGTTTTGGCCTTAAGGAGTGAGAGGTCACAGACTTTTTTAAGGATCTGCTGATCACTAAGCTTCTTCTTCTCAGCAGATAATATACAATTGGTCCTCATTATTCACAGATTCTGAATTTGTGAATTCACCTACGCACTAAAGTGTACTTGTAACCTCAAAGACCATAGGTCCTTTCAAAGTCATTATCAGATGTATGCATGTGCAAAACATCAAAAACTTTGAATTTCCTGATGTGCACATTCCCAGCTGATGTGGAAACGGGTGACACTTTGCTTTTTTGTTTCCGATCTCAAACTGTAAACGAGTATCCTTTAGTGCCACATTTTTTTTCACATTTTTTGCATTTTGTTAATGATTTCTCTGTTTAAAATGGCTCCCAAGCATGGTGCTGAAGTGCTGTTTAATGTTCCTAAGCACGAGAAGGCTGGGATGTGCCTTATGCAGAAAATGTATGTTAGATACGCTTTATTCAGGAATGATTTATAGTGATGTTGGCCATGAGTTCACTGGTAATAAATTAACAATAAATATTAAATATGATGTCTTTAAACAGAAACACACATAAAACAAGGTTATGTATTAATCAGTTGATAAGAAATGTTGTTCCCAGATGCTCGCAAAAGCTTATCTCTGTATTTTTCCAAGGAAAATAACACTAAATTTCCTCTAGGAGCAATGACTCAGTATTTGCTAATTCTGTGTTCATGGTCACTTTATAAAGCACAACTACTGCAAATATCAAGAACTGAACTGTATACACATAGAAGTCTCCTTCAAATTCAAGGATTTTATGAAGTCATGAGGCCTATTCAAGTATGTTAGATAAAAGCCCTTGATGAAAAATGAATATACTAAATATATTAAGAGCTATCTTACATAAGTAATGGTTTCTCTCAATGAGCTTTTTATAATGGTTATGGGCTCTAAAGTCAAACTGCCAGGGTTCAAACCTTGCCTCTATGACTTTCTAGCGGGCGAGCCTGGGCAGGTTTCTTAATCCAAACTTCCTCATCTGCAAAATAGGGAAATTAAGGAAAGGGATTAGAACATCAAAGAGTACATATGACATTACTAATATTTTTGATTGATTGATTATTAACCAGATACATACAAGAATAATTAGAATTTCTGTTACTTATCAGGGAGGGGGTTAGAGAACAGTGGGCAGCAGATACAAGACAAACAAATACTATTTTTAGACCTCAATGAGTATAAGGTTTCTCAATTAAACTGTCTACTATTCAGCTCCTCATGGTTCTGTTCACAAATGAGTTTGGTGAGAACTAATAACTGAAAGACTAGCCCACAGGGAAGTCAACTTTTTATTCCCAAACTTTGGGCTAAAAATAATAAGACAAAATAGTTGGGCTTTAAAATGAAGGGAAAGAGATTAGCAATTAATGAGATTAAAATATTAAAATGAAAGTTAAAAGACTAAGATAAAAGGCATAAGTAAAGGCAAGAAGCTTAGAGATTATAAGAGGAAAAAAGAAAAGCAAAAGGAAAATGCACTAAAAGCAAATAAGGGATGTGCCCAAAACAAAGCTCAAGGTATGTCCAGTTTCCACAAGGGTTGGGTCCCTTGTAACAGTGGGGCCAACTACAACTCTGATAAACAATTCTTTAGGGATCTACTGTAACAAAGCTTAGGACCACTCAGTTCAAACAACTGGAGGGATTTAGGACAAGCAGCAATTTGTCTAAGCTAAGTAGAACATACTGATAAAATAAATATGATAGTAAAATAATTCTGACGTACTAAAAAACTTCAAGTTTAAGGACCTCTAGCTTTGTTTTTTAACATTGTCTTGGTTATTTTTGGCCCCTTATTCTTTAAAATAAAGTGCAAAAAATTAATTCATCAATTTCCACTGAGAGTGTTTGGAATTTAATCTATTGATTGAATTTGATCTATAGATCAGCTTGATGGTAATTGGTATCTTTACAGAAGTCTTTAAATACGTGAACATAGTATATGTCTCCATTTATTTAGGACTTTAAATTTCCTCCATCATGTTTTGCAGTTTTCGTTATAGAGATCTTACAACTCTTTTTTGTTAGATTTGTTTTTAGGTATTTGATGTTTATGCATACTCTTATAAATAGTATTGCTTTAAAATTTCGTTTTATGTTTGTTTATGGCTGGTACAGCATGCCCCGCATAAAGACAGTTTAATCAACAATAGACCACATTATAAGGCAGTAGTTCCATAAGCGTACGATGGCGGTGGCTCATACCTATAATCCCAGTGCTTTGGAAGGCCAAGGTGGGAGGATTCCTTGAGGCCAGGAGTTTGAAACCAGCCTGGACAATATAGCGAGACCCTGTCTCTGCATAATAATAATAAAGATTATAATAAAGCTGAAAAAATCCTATTGTCTAGTAATGTCACAGCAGTCATAACACCATAGTGCAATGCATTACTAATATATTTGTGGTGATACTGATTTAAACAAACCTACTATGCTGCCAGCCATATAAAAGTATTATGTACAGTATATAATACTGATGATGATAATAAACAACTATGTTACTGGTTTATATGTTTATTATATTATAGTTGTTATTGTTATTTTAGAATGTACCTCTTCTATTTATTTTTTTAAAGCTAACTGTAAAACTGCCTCAGGCAAGTCCTTCAGAAGGTATTTCAGAAGGCATTATTGTCATAGGAGATGACAGCTCCTTTCGTGTTATTGCCCCTGAAGACCTTCCAGTGGAACAAGATGTAGAAACAGAGGACAGTGATATTGATGATCCTGACTCTGTGCATCTTAGTTTGTAATAAAAAAGTTTTAAAAGTTTTTTTAAAATTAAAAGTTTTAAAATTAGAAAAAGCTTATCTGATAAGAATGTAAAGACAGAAAATATTTTTGTGCAGTTGTACAATGTGTTTGTGTTTTAAGCTATATGTTACTATGAAAGAGTCAAACAGTTTTAAAAAATGATTTAAAAGCTTATAAAGTAAAAAGTTGTAGTAAGCTAAGGTTAATTTATCATTGAAGAAAGAACAAATTTTAATAAATGTAATGCAGCCTAAGTATACAGTGTTTATAAAGCCTTCAGCAGTGTACAGTAATGTCCTGAGCCTTCACATTCACTCATCACTCACTCAGTGACCCACCCAGAGCAATTTCCAGCCCTGCAAGCTCCATTCATGGTAAGTGCTCTATACAGGAGACCATTTTTATCTTTTATACCATATTTTTACTGTGTTCTTTCTATGCTTAGATATACAAATACTTATCATTTTGTTATAATTGCCTATAGTATTCAGTATAGTAGTTTGCTATACAGGTTTGTAGCCTAGGAGCAAAAGGTTATTCCATATAGTCTGGGTGTGTAGTAAATAGGCTATACTATCTAGGTTTATGTAAGTATACTCCATGATGTTTGCACAATGATGAAATTGCCTAATGGAATACTTCATAGAACATATCCCAGTTGATTGATAAGTGATGCATAACTGTATAGAGAATAAAACAGTTGACAATAAATAGTAATTGTCATGTTTCCAGTTTCGGGGAAAACTTTCAATATTTCAGCATTAAGTACATTACATATATTGAAATTAGGTATGTTTGTACATCAAAAGACACCCTTAAAGAGGGAAAGAGCAGTCACACAATGGAAGATATTTTAAATAAATAGCTATAGCAAAGGACTTGTATTCAAAATATATAAAGAACTCCTTTAAGTTCATAAAAGTCAGACAACTTAATTTAAAATAGGCAAATATTTGAGCAAATACTTTACAAAAGAGAGTATCTAAGAAGCCAAAAAACATGTGAGAAGATGAGTACATTTATAAGTCATCAAGGAAATAGAAATTAAAACCACAATGTAATACCACTACATACAAACTAGAAAGGCTAAAATGAAAATTACTGACAACATCACATATTGTTGAGTATGTGGAGTAGGTAGAAATCTCACGCACAGCTGATGGGAGTATAAATGGTAAAACTACTTTAGAAAACTATTTGACAGCATCTATTAAAACTCAACACACACGTATTCTCTGTCCCAACAATAATATACTCAACAGAAATACTTAACTATTATTATTAAAATACATGCACAAGAATGTTCATCAAAAACTGAAAAATGGCTCAAATGTCTATCAAGAGTAGAAATGAATGAATAAATATATAACTATTATATATTATAATACACTATAAAACAATGAGAAGAAGAAGTTATTGCTAGAGGAATAGCTTTGAACTTGGTGAAATACACACTGTAGGCTTCTATTTACATGCAATTCCAAAAAATAGACAAAAGTAATCGATGCCATTAGAAGTCAAGGTGGAGAACGGTACTAGGAAAAGGCACGAGGAGGCTTCTGGAGTGCCAGTAATATTAAATATTGTGATCTGGAAACTGGTTACATAAGTGTGTTTCAAAGTTCATTGAGCTGTACATTTGTAGTTTATGCACTTTCCTGCATGTATGTTATACTTCAATAAAACAACAACAAAAACAAGTTAAAAACCTTAGAGGCTGAGTAAAGCTATTTGATTAAAAATGACTAAAAGCTCCTATTTGTCAATTTTGGCTTTTGTTGCCATTGCTTTTGGTGTTTTAGACATGAAGTCCTTGCCCATGCCTATGTCCTGAATGGACACAGATTTCCTGAATGCCTAGATTTTCTTCTAGGGTTTTTATGGTTTTAGGTCTAACGTTTAAGTCTTTAATCCATCTTGAATTGATTTTTGTATAAGGTGTAAGGAAGGGATCCAGTTTCAGCTTTCTACATATGGCTAGCCAGTTTTCCCAGCACCATTTATTAAATAGGGAATCCTTTCCCCATTGCTTGTTTTTCTCAGGTTTGTCAAAGATCAGATAGTTGTAGATATGCGGCGTTATTTCTGAGGGCTCTGTTCTGTTCCATTGATCTATATCTCTGTTTTCGTACCAGTACCATGCTGTTTTGGTTACTGTAGCCCTGTAGTATAGTTTGAAGTCAGGTAGTGTGATGCCTCCAGCTTTGTTCTTTTGGCTTAGGATTGACTTGGCGATGCGGGCTCTTTTTTGGTTCCATATGAACTTTAAAGTAGTTTTTTCCAATTCTGTGAAGAAAGGCATTGGTAGCTTGATGGGGATGGCATTGAATCTGTAAATTACCTTGGGCAGTATGGCCATTTTCACGATATTGAGTCTTTCTACCCATGAGCATGGAATGTTCTTCCATTTGTTTGTATCCTTTTTTATTTCCTTGAGCAGTGGTTTGTAGTTCTCCTTGAAGAGGTCCTTCACATCCCTTGTAAGTTGGATTCCCAGGTATTTTATTCTCTTTGAAGCAATTGTGAATGGGAGTTCACTCATGATTTGGCTCTCTGTTTGTCTGTTGTTGGTGTATAAGAATGCTTGTGATTTTTGTACATTGATTTTGTATCCTGAGACTTTGCTAAAGTTGCTTATCAGCTTAAGGAGATTTTGGGCTGAGACAATGGGGTTTTCTAGATATACAATCATGTTATCTGCAAACAGGGACAATTTGACTTCCTCTTTTCCTAATTGAATACCCTTTATTTCCTTCTCCTGCCTAATTGCCCTGGCCAGAACTTCCAACACTATGTTGAATAGGAGTGGTGAGAGAGGGCATCCCTGTCTTGTGCCAGTTTTCAAAGGGAATGCTTCCAGTTTTTGCCCATTCAGTATGATATTGGCTGTGGGTTTGTCATAGATAGCTCTTATTATTTTGAAATACGTCCCATCAATACCTAATCTATTGAGAGTTTTTAGCATGAAGGGTTGTTGAATTTTGTCAAAGGCTTTTTCTGCATCTACTGAGATAATCATGTGGTTTTTGTCTTTGGCTCTGTTTATATGCTGGATTACATTTATTGACTTGCGTATATTGAACTAGCCTTGCATCCCAGGGATGAAGCCCACTTGATCATGGTGGATAAGCTTTTTAATGTGCTGCTGGATTCGTTTTGCCAGTATTTTATTGAGGATTTTTGCATCAATGTTCATCAAGGATATTGGTCTAAAATTCTCTTTTTTGGTTGTGTCTCTGCCTGGCTTTTTAAACTAAAGAGCTTCTGCACAGCAAAAGAAACTACCATCAGAGTGAACAGGCAACCTACAAAATGGGAGAAAATTTTCACAACCTACTTATCTGACAAAGGGCTAATATCCAGAATCTACAATGAACTCAAACAAATTTACAAGAAAAAAACAAACAACCCCATCAAAAAGTGGGCGAAGGACATGAACAGACACTTCTCAAAAGAAGACATTTATGCAGCCAAAAAACACATGAAAAAATGCTCATCATCACTGGCCATCAGAGAAATGCAAATCAAAACCACAATGAGTTACCATCTCACACCAGTTAGAATGGCAATCATTAAAAAGTCAGGAAACAACAGGTGCTGGAGAGGATGTGGAGAAATAGGAACACTTTTACACTGTTGGTGGGACTGTAAACTAGTTCAACCATTGTGGAAGTCAGTGTGGTGATTCCTCAGGGATCTAGAACTAGAAATACCATTTGACCCAGCCATCCCATTACTGGGTATATACCCAAAGGACTATAAATCATGCTGCTATAAAGACACATGCACACGTATGTTTATTGCGGCATTATTCGCAATAGCAAAGACTTGGAACCAACCCAAATGTCCAACAATGATAGACTGGATTAAGAAAATGTGGCACATATACACCATGGAATACTATGCAGCCATAAAAAATGATGAGTTCATGTCCTTTGTGGGGACATGGATGAAATTGGAAATCATCATTCTCAGTAAACTATCGCAAGAACAAAAAACCAAACACCGCATATTCTCACTCATAGGTGGGAATTGAACAATGAGATCACATGGACACAGGAAGGGGAATATCACACTCTGGGGACTGTGGTGGGGTCGGGGGAGGGGGGAGGGATAGCATTGGGAGACATACCTAATGCTAGATGACGAGTTAGTGGGTGCAGCGCACCAGCATGGCACATGTATACATATGTAACTAACCTGCACAATGTGCACATGTACCCTAAAAATTAAAGTATAATAAAAAAAAAAACTGCTAAACGGAGCAGGAACAGCAAAACATCTGTATGTTTTTTTTTAATTTTAAAAACTGACTTGGTGAAATCTAGTCAACTTCACTATTTATATCATACTGATATAGCAGAATGTTTTCAGTATGCTTGAAGGTAATGTAAAAACAAAATATAAAACCAAGATCCCTATCTCAAGATTTCCTTGCGAAAGGAAATAGTGACTGAATTATAGATGAAAATGAAGCAACAATTGTGGAAAAATAAAGACAACAGAGGTCAGACCCATTTATCTTGTTGAGCAAGATCTGTGCCTATTTCTAATAAAAACACATGAAAAATTAAAAAAAAAAAGACTAAAAGCTACCATAAATGTCAAGTGTGCCTCACAGAAAAAGTAATGTGTATCTGAAAGTGTCTAAAATTTATGGGCTGAAAAGGTTAGATCTTTATCAGATTCCAGTGGAACGACTTTGAAAGACGCCCTCTGCTGTTTACACCCCAGGATGGACAGCATGTACTGTATGCCCGTGGGGAGAAGCCACTAGCAGGAGACAGGATAATCTATATTCTCAAGCTATTAGTCATCTCCAGAATCCATATTAATCCCCTCCCCCAGAACACTTCAGCAGGACAGTTCCAGGTTGAGTTCCGCAATTTCAATTGCTACATGCATACTTTTCATAATGTATAGTCAATTGTTGGGGCCTACTTAGGAAGTAAATCTCTTTTTCAGCCACCAACATGTGGCCAGATGAAATCATCATTGGCTGGTGAACTTGATTGCTTTATTATTTGTATTTCTTTTCAAATGAGGAAGATAAAGCCTCCCCAGAGAAAAGATATCCAGATTTCTGAGTTCAGTGTCAATGTGATTACAGGATTTTCACTATCTTTCTCAGACTGATAATGCAGTGACCAACATGATATGAAAATAAAGGCAAACATGTAGCAATTCTAAAAACTAAGAAAGCTCCATGAAGCTATCAGAAACACCCAGGAATTTCTAACAGAAAATGACAGACAGGCTCAAACTAGAGGCCATGGTTGAAAGGTTAACTCACCACCATAGTATGAGAAATACGCAGCTTTCCATTATAGCAACAGTGACACAGCAGAACATTTTTTAAAATCTCATTAAATCAGCAACAATATATATAAAATGAAGAGCAAAATTTTGCAATAAGAGTGGAGAACCCAGGAGTTATGTGATTATTACAAACATGATAATTCTCTTGAAATAACTTAGAGAAGAAAGCAACTCAAAACAGACCCATTGGGATTCTTTTATTTTTGTAATTTGATATAATTAAGTATTAATTGGAAAAATAGTTGAGAATTTTTTTCTCTCTAAATTAAAGCAATATTATGTTCAGTGACATGCTCAGATCTTAATTTTATGATCAATGATATTTGACGTAATAATCAAGATTTTTTGAAAACATTTTCCTCACTCCCAGAGAGTCATTTCAAGCCTCCTTTTAGTCAATATTTCTACCCTCCACCTTCTGCATCTCTCTATTCCCCACAACAGCCAAAAATTATGCTGAATTTTTTTCACTACAAATTACTTGTGTTCATTTTTGAACTTTTGATAATCATATTTAATATTTTGTATTGAGCTTCTTTTATTTGAAATAGTTTTATTTTTTACATTTTCTGTGTTGTTACATGTATCTGTAGTTTAGTTTTTTAAACTGCTCTGCATATTATATTGTATTAATATACAGTTGCATTTTCACTTATTCTCCTGATGTTTATTAATTGTTTTGTTGATGGTTAATTGGATTGTTTCCAGTTTTCAAGGATGTTTGTATAGTAAACAATCTTGGAAAATAGAGATAGGATAGTGTATCTCTGGAACAAAGCTTACTCTCCATTATAAATAACGTTGATTCCTTAAGCTCAGGGTTTCTTTGCTGTAATACACCAAACTGTCTGTGCAGGCTTTCATATGAGCCCATCAGCATCATTCTGAGCAGCTTGGGGACAAAGGAAATTGACAAAAATTTGTTGACTATGGAGGAGTCTTCTGCTTTCTGCCAAAATACAATGAAATGTGGCCAGTTAACTTGTTAGCAAGAAAATAGGATAAATTACCAGACATTTTGCAATTCTTGACAGTGCCTATGATTGGAGGGATATTGGTGTGTAATTTTCTTTTTGATAATGCCCTTCCAGGTTTTGATAAGAGGGTTATATTCAGTTCGTAAAACAAGTTAGGAATTTTACCCTCCTTTTCAATTTTCTGAAAGTATTTAGGTAAAATTAAAATGAGCTCTTCTTTAAAAGTTTGATGAAACTCATTTGAGAAAACAACTGGGTCTAGAGTTCTTTTCATGAAAAGATTTAACATTTCAAATTCTACTCTTGTAATAGATAAAGATATAGGTTTTTAAACTTTTTCTTGTGTCACTTTTGGTCATTTGTGTTTTCCTGATAAATTTGTTCATTTTATCAAATGTGTCAAATTTATTACCAAAGTCTTTTTAATATTTCCAAATTATTCTTTTATATTCATAGCATTTGTGAATGAGATGTTGGTGAGTGCTTTACTCTCTTTATTGTTTTGATAACTTACATTTAATTTTTATTTTTTGATTGGTCTTGCTAGGAGTTTGTCAATTTTATTAGACAAACTAGTTCTATTTGTTATTCAAAAGTTATTCAAAGAACTAACTTTGGCTTAATTTTTTCATTTTTTTTCTATTGTATTGATTCATACTCTTATCTTTATCATTTCTTCCCATTATTTTGGGCTGAATTTTCTCTTCTTTTAAATCTTCATATATCACTGAGTATGTCTTTTTCCCTTTTTAATTTAGGTATCTAAGGTTATGAATTTCCAACTCTAGCATGCCAGTACTTCACTTTTTGTTTTGATATGTCTTACTTTATTATTATTTGATTCCATGTTCTTCATTTCTTTTCATATGACCCGAGGAACATATTTTAACATTTCTTATAGTACATTCTTCCGGTGATTAATTTTCACAGCTTTTTAAACATAAATATATCACTACTTCATTCTCATTTTTAAAGGATGTTTTTACTGTACAAATTGTCCGGCTGCCATTGTACCTGATAAGAAGTCAGCATCTATCCTTATTTTTGTTCCCTGTATGTAGTGGGTCTTTTTTATCTCTGGCTGCTTTTTAATTTTTTTAATCTCTAGTTTTCAGCAATTTGACTAGGTTATATCTAGACATGATTTTATTTGTATTTATTCTACTTGGGGTTTGCTGAACATCTTGGGTGTTTGTCACCAAATATTGGAAATTTCCAGCTATAATATTTTTTAAATTTTGCTATTTTACTTTCTCTTCTTTCTCTTCATCTGTGACTTGAATCGCATTTTTTAGTCTGATTGATATCATCATATTTTTTACTAAGGCTCTGTTTTTTTTCCCAATCTTCTTTCCTTCTCTCTGTTCTTCAGTTTGGATATTTTATATTTACTTGTCTTAAATTTCATTGATCCTTTCTTCTTTCATGTAAAAACTCCTGTTAAAATAAACCAGTGAGTTTTCAGATATTGGCCTATTTTCTCTTGAATTTTTCATAGTTAGTCTATTTATTTATTTATTTTAGTATTATTATTATTTTTTGAGACAGAGTCTTGCTCTGTCGCCCAGGCTAGAGTGCAGTGGCCCAATCTCGGCTCACTGCAAGCTCTGCCTCCCGGGTTCACGCCATTCTCCTGCCTCAGCCTCCTGAGTAGCTGGGACTACAGGCACCCGCCACCAGGCCTGGCTAATTGTTTGTATTTTTTAGTAGAGACGGGGTTCCACTGTGCTAGCCAGGATGGTCTAGATCTCCTGACCTCATGATCCACCCGCCTTGGCTTCCAAAGTGCTGGGATTACAGGCGTGAGCCATCAGGCCCGGCCTTTTTTATTTATTTACTATAAATTTAAGTGGGTACAAGTGTAGTTTTGTTACATGGATATATTGTGTAGTGGTGAAGGCTGGGCTTTTAGTATAATAATCACCCAAATAGTGTGCATTAACCCATCAAGTAATTTATCATCCTTCACTCCTCTACCATCCTCTCACTTTTCCAAGTCTCCAATGACTATTATTCCACAATCCATGTCCATGTGTACACATTATTTACCTTCCACTTATAAGTGACAACACGTGGCAGTTGACTTTCTGATTCTGAGTTGTTTCACTTAAGATAATGGCTTCCAGTTCTATCTACATTGCTGCAAAACACGTGATTTTATTATTTTTTATGGCTAAACAGTATTCAGTTTTTCCTACATTTTCTTTATTGAGTTATACATTGATGGACACTTAGGTTGATTCTATATCTTTGCTATTGTGACTAGTGCTGCTATAAGCCTACAAGTGCTGGTGTCTTTTTGGCATAATAATTTCTTTTCCTTTGGGTAGATATCCAGTAGTGGAATTGCTGGATTGATTTGTAGCTCTATTTTTAGTTCTTTGAAAAATATCCATATTGTTTTCCATAGAGGTTGTACTAATTTACATTTCTGCCAAATGTGTATAAGTGTTCCCTTTTCTCCATGTCCTCTCCAACATCTATTATTTTTTGTCTGTTTAATAATAGCCATCTGACTTGTATATCTCATTGATGATTAGCGATGTTGAACATTTTTTCACATGCTTATTGGCCATCTATGTGTCTTCTTTTGAAAAGTGTTGATTTATGTCCTTTACATACTTTTTTTTAATTCCATGAGTTTTTGGGGAACAGGTGGCATTTGTCTACATGAGTAAGTTATTTAGTGGTGATTTGTGAGATTTTGCTGCACCCATCACCAGAGCAGTATATGTTGAACCCAATATGTAGTTTTTTATCCCTAAATCCCCTCCCACCCTTTCCCCTGAGTCACCAAAGTCCATTGTATCATTCTTTTGCCTTTGCATCCTCATAGCTTAGCTACCACTGCCATCCACAAATTCAATGCAATTCCCATCAAAATACCACCATCAGTTTTCACAGAACTGGAAAAGACAATCCTAAAATTTATATGGAACCAAAAAAGAGCCCACATAGCCAAAGGAAGACTAAGCAAAAATAACAAATCTAGAGGCATCACATTACCTGATTTCAAAGTATACTATTAAAGCCATAGTCACCAAAACAGCATGGTATTGGTATAAAAATAGGCACTTAGACCAACGGAACAGAGTAGATTATCCAAAAATAAACCCAAATACTTAACAGCCAACTGATCTTTTCACACTTTTTAATAGGGTTATTTGCTTATTTACTGTTGTTGCTGAGGTTTTTGAGTTCCTTGTAAATTCTAGATATAAGTCCCCTGTTGATTCATAGTTTGCAAATATTTTCTTCCATTTTGCAGGTTATCTGTTTACTCTGTTGATTATTTATTTTGCTGTAGAAGCTTTTAAGTCCCATTTGTCTATTTCTGTTTTTCTTGCTTGTGTTTTTAGATCTCACCTAGACCAATGTACAGAAGAGTGTTCCCTAGGTTTTTTTCTAGAATTTTTATAATTTCAGGTCTTACATTTAAGTCTTTCATCCATCTTGAATTGATTTTTGTATATGTTGACAGAGAGGGTTCCAGTTTCATTCTTCTGCCGATAGCAATCTAATTTTCCCAGGACCCCTTATTGAAAAGGATGTACTTTCCCCAGTGTATGTTTTTGTTGACTCTCAGTTGGCTGTAGGTATGTGTGACTTTATTTCTGGGTTCTCTATTCTATTCCACTAATCTATGTATCTATTTTTATGCCAGTACCAAGCTATTTTGATTACTATCTCCTTGTAGTATAATTTGATTTCAGACAAGGTAATACCTCCAGTTTTATTCTTTCTGGTTAAAATTCCTTTAGCTATTTGGGCTCTTTTTATTTGGTTTTATATAGATTTTTTTTTCTAATTATCAGGAAAATGATGTTGATTTTTTATAGGGATTGCATTGAATCTGTATATTGCTTTAGGCAGTATGATACTAATTCTTCCAATACATAAGCATAAGATTTTTTTTATTTGTTTGTGTCATCTACATTTTTTTCATAAGTGTTTTCTAGTTTTCCTTATAGAGATTTTTTGCCCCTTGGTTAAATATATTCCAAGGGTTTTTAAAAATATAATTATTGTAAATGGAATTGCCTTAATTTGGGTTTCAGCTTGTTATTTGGTATATAGAAATGCTACTAATTTTTTTTTTTTTTTTTTAGATGGAGTCTTGCTCTGTCACCCAAACTGGAATGCAGTGGCATGATCTCAGCTCACTGCAAACTCTGCCTCCCGGGTACAAGTGATTCTCCTGCCTCAGCCTCTCAAGTAGCTGGGATTACAGGTGTGCATGACCAGGCCCTGGTAATTTTTGGATTTTTAGTAGAAATAGGGTTTTGCCATGTTGGCCAGACTGGTCTCAAACTCCTGACCTCCAGTGATCCGCCCACCTTGGCCTCCCAAAGTGCTGGGATTACAGGCGTGAGCCACCACACCCAGCCAAAATGCTACTAATTTTTGTATGTTGATTTTGTACCTGAAACTTTACTGAATTCATGTATCAAATCTAAGGTTGTTTGAGGAGTCTTTAGGGTTTCCTGGGCTTAAGATCATATAATCAGTAAACAGAGATCATTTGATTTCTTCTTTTCCTATTTGAATGTCTTTTATTTATTTCTCTTGCCTCATTGCTCTGGCTAAGGCTTCCAGTACTATGTTGAATATATATGTAGTGAAAGTGGACATTCTTGTCTTGTTTCAGTTCTTAGGAGAATTGCTTTCAACTTTTCCCCATTAAGCATGATGTTGGCAGTGGGTTTGTCATATATGGCTCTTATTATTTTGATGTATGTTCCTTCTATGACTAGTTTTTTGAAGGTTTTTGTTACGCAGGGATGCTGAATTTTATTGAATGCTCTTTCTGCATCTATTGAATGATCATAAAGTTTTTGTTTTTAATCCTGCTTGTGTGATGAAGCACATTTATTGATTGAACCATCCTTGCATCCCTAGAATAAAACCTGCTTGGTCCTGAAGAATTATCTTTTTGATGTGCTGTTGGATTTGGTTTGCTAGTATTTTGTTAAGGATTTTTGCATCTGTGATCATCCAGGGATATTGGTCTGTAGTTTTCTTTTTTCATCATGTCCTCATCTGACTTTGGTATCAGGATGATACTGTCTTCATAGAATGAGTTAGGGAGGATTCCCTCCTCCTCGATTTTTTGGAACAGTTCCAGTTAGTATTGATACCAGTTCTTTTTTTTTTTTTTTTCTTTTTTTGAGATGGAGTCTTGCTCTGTCACCCAGGCTGGAGTGCAGTAGCCTAATCTCAGCTCACTACAACCTCCACCTCCTGGGTTCAAGTGATCCTCCTGTCTCAGCATCTAAGTAGCTGGCATTACAGGTGCACGCCACCACACCTGGCTAACTTTTTGTATTTTAGTAGAGATGGGGTTTCACCATGTTGCCCAGGCTAGTTCTGAACTCCTGAGCCCAGGCAATCCACCTGCCTCAGCCTCCCAAAGTGCTAGGATTACAGGCGTGAGCCACCGAGCCCAGCCTGGTACGAGTTCTTCTTTGTATGTTTGGTAGAATGCAGCTGTGAATCCATCTGGTCCTGATCTTTTTTCTAGGGGGAGATATTTTATTACTGACTCAATCTCACTACTCATTATTGGTCTGTTCAAAATTTCTGTTTCTTCCTGGTTCAATCTTGAAAGGTTTTGTGTCCAGGAATTTATCCATTTTCTCTAGATTTTCTAGTTTATGAGCACAGAGATGTTTATAGTAGCCTCTGATCTTTTGTATTTCTGTGGTATCCTTTGTAATATTTCCATTTAAATTTCTAATTATATTTATTTGGATCTTCTCTCTTGTTGATTAATTGAGCTGGCAGTTTTTCAATTTTGTTTATCTTTTCAAAGATAAATAAACCAACTTTTCATTTCATTGGTCCTTTGTTTCACTGTGGTCTCAATTTCATTTAGCTCTGTTCTGATCTTTGTTATTGTTGTTCTTCTGCTAGTTTTGTGTTTGTTTTGGTTTTCTTTTCCTAGTTCTTTGAGGTGTGACAGTATGTTCACTTTTTCGATGAAGGTATTTAACACTATAAACTTCCCCATTAGCACTGGTTTTGCTGTATCCCAGAAGTTTTGGTATGTTGTATCTGCATTTTTATTCATTCCAAATATTTTAAAATACCCACCTTAATTTCATTATTGACCCAAAGATTGTTCAGGAGCATGCTGTTTAATTTCCAAGTATTTTTATAATTTCAAGAACTCCTCTTGGTATTGATTTCTAGTTTTATTTCACTGTGGTCTGAGAAGATACTTGATATGATTTCAATATTTTAAAATTTATAGAAGCTAATTTTGTGGCTGTGTATCTTGGAGAATGTTCCATGTGCTGACGAGAAAAAATGTATATTCTGAACTTGTTGGATAGAATGATCGTGAATGTCTGTTAGGCCCATTTGGTCTAAACTCCAATTTAAGTCCAGTGTTTCTTTGTTGATGTTCTATCTCAATAACCTGTCTACTGCTGTCATAGAAGTGTCAAAGTCCCCCACTATTATTATGTTGGTACCTATGTGTTTCTTTAAGTCTAGCTATACTTGTTTCATGAATTTGGGTGCTCTAGTGCTGGTTACATATATATTTAGAATACTTATATCCTTGTTAAATTTGCTCCATTTATCATTACATAATAACATTATTTGTGGGTTTTTTTACTCTTTTATTAATTAAAGTCTGTTTTTTTCTTATATAAATATGGCTACTCCTGCTTGCTCTCAGTTTCTGTTGTTTGTAGTATCTTTTTCCATGCCTTTGCTTCAATCCATAAGTGTTTTACCAGTAAAGTTTTTTTTTGTAAGCAGCATATAGTTGGTTTTTCTTTTATCCATTCTGCAAATCTATAGCTTTTAAGTAGAGCATTGAATCCATATATGTTCAAGGTTAGTATGCATACATGAGATTTTGTTCCTATCGTAATGTTAATTGTTATCTAGTTGTTTTTGTGGGTTGTTTCTTATTTTTCCTTTCTGTCTGTCTTTGTGATTTAATGGAGCTTGGCTGTGTTTCCATTTGATTCTTTCTCTTCCTTCTTTCTATAATTATTTTATAAGACCTGTGAGTTTTATACTTTTGTGTTTTTATGATGGTAAGTATTGACATTTCATTTTCATGTTTAAAACTCCTTTGAGCATTTCTCATAGGACAGGTCTAAAAGTGAAAAATTCCCTCAGCATTTGTTTTTCTGAGAAAGATATTGTTTCTCCTTCATTTATAAAGCTTATTTTGGCAGGATATACAATTCATGATTGACACTTCTTTCTTTAAGAAGCCTGACAATAGGCTCCAAATCTCTCCTGAATGTTAGGGTTTCTGCTAAGAAGTCTACTCTTAATCTGATGGGGTTTCTGTTATAGATGACTAGACACTTTTGCTGATTTTAGGATTTTTTTTCTTTGACATTGACTTTAGACCATCTAATGACTATATGTTGTGGTTAAGTACATTTTACAATGTATTTTCCTGGTGTTTGCTGGGCCTCTTGTACTCGATGTCTAAATCTCTTGCAAGACTCGGGAAGTTTTCATCAATTAATTCCTCAAATAGGTTTTCCAAACTTTTTGTTTTTTCTTCTCCTTTGGTAATACAAATGATTCATAAGTTTGAGTGCTTTGTGTAGTCCCATACTTCCTGAAGATTTTATTAATTCTTTTTTATTCTTTTTTCTTTATTTTTGTCTGACCAAATTAATTCAAAAGACGTGTATTCAAGTTTTGAGATTCTCTCTTCATCTTGGTATAGTCTATTGTTAACATTTTCATTTGACCTGACAATTTTTCACACTTCCAGAATTGTTATGCTGATTCATTTGGATAAAACTTTTTCCCTTACAAATTTTGTAATTTCTTCAATGAATTTTTCATTTCCAAAAGTTTTTCTTTGGCTTTTTAAAAAGATATCTATGCCCTTGGTAAATTTCTCATTAATATCCTGAAATGATTTTCTGATTTCTTTGAATTGGTTTACAAATTTTTCTTGGATCTCATTGAGCATCTTTAAAATCAATATTTTAAATTATTTTCCTGGCATTTCAAAAATTTTGTTTCGGTTAGGATTCATTGCTAGAAATTCGATGAGGTCTTTTGGGGTGTCATAACACTCTACTTTTTTACAATTCTAGGATTGTTATGATGATATATTCTCATCTGGAGGAACTGTCGCTTCTTATTTTTGAATTTACCTTCATTTGGATGGAACTTTTATTTTCCTTGAGGATATGACTATAATGTATATTGAGTAGGGCCAATATTCTTGCATGGGAGTTCCTCGCATGGGAAGGGAATGGTGGGCCAAGCTCCTAATCCAGGTGAGCAAGTTCCTTGCACGGGAAGGGAATGGTGGGCCAAGCTCCTAATCCAGGTGAGCAAGTGTGAGACCTGCCTCCTTCTCACTCCTTATAACTGGCAGGACTCATTACCCCCCATCCTAACCAATGAAGTGAGCTGGAACACTCAGTAAAGTCACACACACACTGGGTTTAGATCGCAAAGCCATCCCTGCCCACAAATCTTGCAGCCTAGACAAAACTGTAGCTCCAACAAATCTCCTGCTCTGCTGCTGTAAAGAGATAGCCCAACTCCAGCATTTAAGGCTAGAGCATATTTTATACTTGCCATTCAGTTCTGCCTGTGGTGGCCCTTCTCCAGACCCAGCACTCCAATCTTTAGCCCAAGATACTCTAATGCCCTTGGCAGTAGCTTCTTCTAGGCTTGCTGAATCCTGTACAGCTTAGTCTAAGTCACAATTGATAATGGTGCCCTCCTATTGGTCCTGGGTCTGGGAAAATGCCTGGGGTACATCCTGGTGCCTATCCTTTTAGAGTTTCCCAGCCTCTTGCCAGGTTAGCTCTAGCCCTTGGAAAGGACAAGATGCTCTCCCGTGGAATGGGGTTATACAGTTTTCCAGTGGAAAGGTGGACCACAGTGGGACACTCACTTCCCCTCTCATTTTGGGCCTTCACTCACAGACTTCAGTTAGACCATGCCGCAGAGGTTGCCTGTCCACCTTCTCTTCCCTCTGGTATCTGAAGTATTCTTTACTTTTCTGGTGAATTCCCATGTTCCTTCTTGGATAAAAGATCATGGTGCAAATCTCTACATATTATTTTGCTTCTTTCAAGTGGGTAAGGCATGCTGGAAAAGCCTCTAATCTGCCATCTTGAAAAAAATATATCTATATATGGTTATTTTTATATATGTTCAAAATACCTTCTGAAAGTCCCTGTGTATTCATTTATTATGTTCATTCATTTCTTTATATTCTTAAGCATATTTATAGTAGCAACTTTAAAGTTTCTGTTTGATGATTTTAACATCTGGATCATCTCAAGGTTTCTATTATTTTTTATATAAACTGTTTTTTATTTCTTTGCTTCTTTGCATTATTTTAGATTGTATGTATTTTAGATTTTAAACGTTACACTTTTAGAGTTTAGATTGCATGATTTTTATCTATGTATTTTATGTATGTATTTTGGACTTTAAATTTTATATTTTATGACACTGCAGGGACTCCTGATTATGTTCTTTTTTAAAAGGATACTGAGTTTTGCTCCACTAGGCAGTTAATTTACTAGACTTTCTTTGATCTGTCAGTCTTAGATTTATGTTTTATTTAAGCAGGTTTATTTCTGTTTTGTCTTTAATCTTAGAGTTGGGTCCTATTTATTGTACTTGATCTTTATCCCTGTTTCTTATCATTTCTGGAGTCATAGTTATTGCTGGAGGGGTTCAGTGGGATCTCTTCACTCTGATTCAGCCCAACTCCAATGTATCCTGGTACTGGAAAACTGCTAGTGTTTTTCTCTTTTCATTTATCAGCCTTGTAACAACTTATTTCTATTAGGCCTTTTGCCATATTTGTCTGCATGTATACAGCATAGAGATTAGTTAAAGACTCAGGGGTAATCGCCATGAATTCTGGGACACACATCTGTGTTTCTTCCTCTTTTTCTTCCTCTTTTCTGATCCTCTGTCCTGAAAATTCCACCTCCCTTAACAGCCTTGGACCCCACTATCTGCCTTAGCTCAGGTAAACTGCTTCTCTACTTTTGTTCCATATCTATTAGCCAAGATAGGCAAAGTGTCTCCAGGAAGAGAGCCTGAGTGATTATGGTGTTTACCTCTCCTAGTCTTTTTCTGTTCTCTCAAGTTCTGCACTGCCTATCATGCAATGCCTGAAAACTGTTGCTTTATATATTTCATCAGGTTCATAGTTGTATACAATGTTTATTCAAGGAATAAATCGAATATCAGTTTTCCATCATTATTTGAAACATAAGTTAATCAGCAGATCTTTTAAGAAAAACAGGATGAAGAAAAATACAAATTCATGACACAAAAACATAGTATTATAATTAAAGGCCAGACGTGGTGGCTCATACCTGTAATCCCAGCACTTTAGGAGGCTAAGGTGGGAGGATCACTTGAGGTCAGGAGTTCAAGACCAACCTGGGAAACCAGTGAAACCCTGTCTCTACTAAAAATACAAAAAAATTTAGCTAGGCTTGGGGGCAGGCACCTGTAATCTCAGCTACTTGGGAGGCTGAGACAGGAAAATCGCTTGAATCCAGGAAGCAGAGGTTGTAGTGAGCTGAGATCGCACCCCTGCACTCCAGCCAGGGTGACAGAGTGAGACCCTATCTCAAAAAAAAAAAAAAGATATATTATTAAAATAAGAAATTAGTATATTTATATAGTCTTTCATAGGCTTTCAAAAACTAATTCAACAAATATATTTAGGTCTCTAGTGTAGCCCCTGTCTTGGAGCACTCACTAGCTTTATTTGTATCATTTTTATTTTATAACTTCTTTCAAGAGTGTTCTCAATGCCACTCTATCCATGGAAAGATATCTGAGTCCTTGTATGCCTCAGAATATAAAGTTCTTTTTCTTCAATATTTAATGATAGTGTTCTACTACCTTATTGTCTCCAGTGGTACCATTGAGAAATTCGATGTCAGTCTGACATATTAGCTTACAAGTGATCTACTCTTTCTTTTCATATATTTTTATAATTTGATATTGTTTTTATTATCCTTAATTCCATTGTCACTAAGACGGAAGGCTCCTGAATTTGTGTGGGGTTTGTTCTCACACTCTGGCTTGTAAGAGTCTTGTATACATAGGGGCTGCCACTTCTTGCAGATTCAATCATCATAATGTCACCAATGCTATGTACCAACGTGATTTTTAAAAAGTAAAGAAGTGAAAAATGGATCGAATTCCTTCTTTGTGGACTAGATTGTGATGAGGCTGGAGAGTTAATATACCTCTGAAGTAAGACAGTGAAGGTGTATTGCAGGCCTTGACAACAAAAAAGCCTCCTTCTGATGCCCTTTACATGCCAAAGAACAAGTGTAGAGGGAAAAAGCCTTTTCCAGATCAGTAGTTGCATACCAATTGTCAAGGGATGTATTGAGTTACTCATGCAATAAAGCACATCTGGAATTGCAACTGCAATTTGAGTCACCACCAGCTGAATGAATTGATGATAAATCCACTGTCATTTCTCAAGAGTCATCTATTTTCTGCACAAGCTAAGTAGATAGGCAGAATTGAATGTGGTAGGAAGCTGTTTAATACCAAATGTTGGTGAGGATGTAGGGAGATGAGGAGCTTTATTCATGTTTGGGAGTATGTAGTTGCACAACAATTTAGGAGACAAATTAGGCAGTATGTAATAAAACTGCCCTCTGATCCAACTTCATAATCCTATATATATGATTGTATATAGATATACTATCCCAGAGATATTTATAAATTTATAAATTCTGTCACATACATCTCAGAGATACTCTTTCCTAAATTCATAAATTCTATCATGTTTATCTCTGAGATAATATCCCATAAATTTATGAGGGGCAGAAGCAGTTCTGAAAATGCAGTTTTTCAAGACTTTAGTACACAGGTGCTATTTAAAAGTTAACACATGAGATCAGATAGAGATAGGAAAATGTCCTTGAATAGAGTATGTTATCATTTTGATTTTTTTTGTTAAATCTGTATAAGGGGGCAGAAAGAAAAGGCTAAAAGAGCATACACAAGAATGTTAAAAATGGTACTCTCAAGTTAAAAGAATTATTAGTAATCATAAATTCAAGTTTTTTCCTCCTTTTTTCACTCTGATCATATATTTTTAGACAACAGATAGTCATCATTCAAACAATTATAATTTAAATAGTATGTACAGCTCTAATAAAATCATCCTAATATGATATGAAATCAGGAAAGCAGTATACAAACTGTATGTACAACATATGTATGAAAAAGGGGCCTAAAGAAAATGTGCCAAATGTTAACAGTTTTTATTTTTGAGTTATCATCAAATATTTTATTTTCTACCTTATATTTCTCTTTATAATAAATATATTTTCTTTGTAACATAAAATAATATATTTTAAACAAGTTTATACCATTTGATGAAAGTTTAGAGAATTTATGAATGTATTGTATGAAATAAGAGATTTTATATTTATTAGAGAAAAAAATCAGAACTATCATATCTATTAAAATAAGGAACAATTATACCCATAAAATGGAACTGCTTCAACTATTAAAATTAGTTTTGCAAATATGTAGTGATAAAATATTTGAGATATTCTTACATTTAAAAAATCAGTTTTAAAAATGATGCTATTCCAATTTTGTAAAACATTGCATGTTTTCATACACTGAAAAAATATGCTTGAAGGAATACACCAGTGTTTCCAATGATTGTCTCCATGTGGTAGGAGAATGGTTGGCTTTTGTTTTCTCTTTCATAATCTTCTGATTTTTCTAGGTACAAATACTATATTTTTAAGATAGATTTTATATTTTAAAAATACTTTTACTAATTCCATACATTCTTTTTTGGCTTATGATAGACAAGAGCACTAAAAGCTATTTTAAAGGTTTTTTTTTCCTCAAGAAAGGTAATCAACTATTGAGATTCAAGTAAATCTGTAACAAATTTAAATAATTAAAGAGCATGTCAATATGGTTTTGAGTTTGCTTAGTGAAGGGAAGGAGGCTTAAATTCAATTAAAAAGCTTATTAGGGATGATACTAACTCTAGCTATTTTCAGTGCATGTTGACACTATATAACACATAGTAATTATATGTTTCTTCTTGAAATATCTGATCAAACACTATCTATAGTAAGCATATATTCCAAATTGTTACAGATGCTCCTGTATCAAAAATATTTATATGAAAATTGTGTAGAATGTTTGAAAAAAAATTGGGGGTACTTGATTTGTGTTCTTTTTTAGATAAGTCACTTAATCTGATGTATATCCATTCTTTAGATTGTAAACCTTTCCTTGGACACTTATTGGAACTTATTTAAAGTATATTTAAATATTAGAAAACCTCTCCCCTTATTATCTATTGAACAAAGCCCAAATACCTTACCTTGTATTTCAAAACATTCTAGAGTCAGGTCTCAATATACTTTTAAAATCTCACATATTTTTCTTTTTTTCTTCTACCCAAAATGCTCTATATTCCTTCTATACCAGTATACTTGTCATTTTCTGAACATACTCTTTATTTCCTTATGTCAGTTTCTTTGCCCAGAATATCCTTCCTCTGCATCTCCACCTGTCAAAATTCTACCCATCTTCCAAGAAGTGTCTCATGTCATCTGCTCCACAAAGCTGTCTCTAATTTTAGATTATTCTCATTTTTCAGGTATTTTAAGGAATTTAAAAATATTTTTCAATGAAAGGATAGACTTTTCTAATAAAACATAAATCACAGTGACCTCAATGTTTATAGTCACTTCAGTTTAGTAATTCTCTTAAAAAACAAAAGTAAATACAGTAACTGACAGTGGTATTCATTTTTCTTCCCTTTGGTAAAAATTTATCACTTTGTAGTACAGAGATTTTTATGCGCGTGTAGGAAACATTTTCAATTCACTAGGATGTGTGTCTTAAAAAAAGCAAAGAGAAAGAAATCCAGCTAAATGGCTATCCAGCTTCAGACATGGTTTTCTTCTGAAGTATAAATGGAACTATGGCTGCAGACCAGAAATCTTATCATAAATATGATGTACCATTTTTCTAAAAGTATATGCAGAGAAGATTTAGCATCATGTTTAACTATCAAAATTACTCATACTACTCTCACTATGTTGGGAATATAGTAACCAAATACTATGGGAATTAAAGCACATGCCCATTCTTCATGTTAAAGATAGAAATATTATTTTTCCATTCTGTCCTGGAAATGAATAACTGTCATTGACAGGTCCCTCAGTTTTGGAGGCAGCCTGAAATGACTATCAGATCCCAGGTGCCCTTGGGTCAAAAGATGAATTCTGTGACTTTCCAAGATGACCTATAAAGGTTGTATGATAGTGATGTTTTAAGCACTTTCTCTAGTAAATAGAAGTCAAGGGGCTCGTGGTTTTCACAATTTTTCCAGAAATTATCTAGCCCAGTCCTACTGCTAGCCTTTTCCAGGCAGTTATAATGGAAGCATCTCCAAGGACAAGAGAAGGAATTATTCTTTCACCTTGAGTATTTTTACTGTCCAGTCACTTCATAATCTAATGATTTAGGATTAATGAACAATCACTAAATATATAACCATCAATAGAGAGTTTGTAGAGGGTTAATCACATTTTCAATTTTGTTTATATAAAATTTTAAGCCTTTTTTAATGCAAGGCAATAAACAAAGTAACATTTTGGGTTACTAACAGCATTATCTGCTGTAATATTCATAAATAATTAGATTTGTCATATTGATGTATCACGGTAGTTATAAATAATATAATGGATTTTCTAGACAGCGTGAAGACACTCATCCTATTCTAATAATCAATATTAACCATGTATTTACTGATTTAAATTTTGAATCATACAATTCTACTAATATTGATATATTCATTTACAAGTTCTTAAAAACGCACATATTGTAACAGCTAAAATATTTTTAAAATAATAAAACAAATGGCAACTAGAACAATCTATTACAAAGCATTTGACTAAAAAAATCAGTTGATTTTTTAAAAATGTTTAGAAAATTGCTGTTTTCATAATGGTATAATATTAAATCAGAATGAACACATACTCCATAGGACTATTTCACTGTAATACTTTGTCTATATTAGGCATTGTTTTAAATTTAATGTTTTATTCATTTTCTAGGATACAATGAGAATCCTTACTTGAGAGTTAAAGCAAACACTAAAACAACTCATACACGAAGGTTTGTGATTAACATTACCTTTCCATGAAAAATGAGAATTCTACAAATAGTGAGCCTTACTGATCTTATTAGGGATATAAACAGAGGACATACTATGAAATTCTAATCTATAGCTTGACCTTTTGTTCTAGTGGGGAAGGTTTATTTTCTAACTCCCATTAATTTTGTTTCTTGATTTTCTTTATATTTTTATCAACATAAATTTTTTGAATACATACAGAAAATTAGGGAGTGAGGAAGCAAACTCTCATTTCTACAAGTTTCTCCTTCATGTCCCTTCATTGAGTTATTAATTTATTGGTAACACTGATGACAACAACAAACTCAGGAATAGGGGATGAGACAATCATTTCTCTTGAAAATTCAAATTGGTTTAGTTTGGCGTTTTGCTGTATCACCACTTACATGCAAAGATAAACCTAAAAACTTCCTAGAAATGTTGTGAAAGATTTGTTTACCAGAAAAACCCAATAACTTCATTTTAGTTTACTTTACACACAGATTTTCTGCAACTCAAGATTAAATAAATTGAGCAACCTCATATTCTTTAATTGCTTCCAATTTTTATTATTAAATAATAAGCCAGAAAATATTTATTCTCAACTATGTTAAACTCAGTTTAGTTGAGTGTTGAAGACATTTTGCTTAAAAGTGCCTGGGGAAGCCTTACAAATTTAAATCATGCTTGGAATTAAAATCCTGAGTTAAATTCCTTGATCTTCATTGAACAACTATTTTGAGTCAGGTCATCTAGTAAGTACACATTTTACCTCAGAAAGAAATTGAGTCAAGTTTTCACATTCCCTGAAGCTTGGTTTATATTTTGTTAAATTCTTAATACTCAGATTTGTAAGGATCTAATGCTTGACATGACCACATAAAGATCACCCTGACAACCATATTGATTTCTGGAGAGGTCTGGAAAAAATCAAATGCTACAAATATAGAAGCTTAAATCATTTCTCTGGGTATAAGCCTGTTTCAATGGACTAGTCTCAATAAATCAGACCTAGTAATACAAACATTTAAAAAATCTTCAAGAAAAGATCCTCTACAACTTCAAGTAGTTGTTGATAATTAAATATGTTATTTATGACTCAGTGCTCAATACCACTGAAGATTAATACTCTGCATTTGATCATTCATTCAATACATGCTAATTAAACATATTTTTATGTTATGCAAAGTGTGGTGTTTGTGATGTCATTTGACTTTGTGATGTCAAATGACTGAGTGTTCTTTGCCCTTGAGCTGCTTGCAGGTAGAGTCAGACATAGGCAAATTGCAATTATATATAACCACTGCAATAGAGATGTAAGCAAGTATTATGGGACCATTGAATAAGGAGCAATGAGGAACACCTTTCAATAAATGTGATGAAGCAAAATTAAAACTGTACTTGGTCACTAGAATATGTTTGTTTCCCACAGGGACAGTCTTAATAATAGTAATTAGAATAGATAAAGTGTAATTGGTACTCACTAAGTGCCAAACATTGTTCTAGAGATATTGCAAGGAATATTAATCCCATAATTCCTACCCAATTTATATCACTGGGCTAAAAGAACATAGCTTCTGTACCTTCAGGTTTTAGTGCACGTAAGTGTCCTAAACCTACCACAACAAACTCACAGGGACAGGACACTGCAGGACATATTAACTTTTTAAGGGAAACACTGTAATACCCAATATCTGTTGGACATCATATGAAATACTAGCTTGAGGTATTTCACCATTTCTACATTCGAATGCACTAAACTACATAATTGACATCATCATATCCTTGAAAAGTTGAGCTTTCATCAGTTGCTGTTGCTGTGTAAAAAGCAAGTACTCTGCAAAAATCAATATGGATTGGGAAAAGATGGGGGATGGCCATGCCCAATATAACTGCATGGCCTGAAAAATTGTGCAGTACTCAATAGCTATACACCTCCTATTAGTAAGTAACTGTAGTTATTTAATTATAAAATAAATTTTTTTTTAATTTCTGTTTACTCTTTTCAAAATAACAATGATTTTATTAGGGCATAAAATATAATAGGCTGTTGGTTCTAATTACTTAATGAAAGAAGATTAAATTATTTATTTAAATTGTCATTTTGTTTGGTTTTCAGCATTTGTTTTAAAAAATAACAGGAATTCTAAGGGTGCTGTGGACTAAAAGTTTGGGAACCCCTGATCCATAGGGATTCTATTTAGAATATGCCCCCAAATGCCTATTTTGAAGTTTATGTAAACAAGAGCAATTTAAATAGGTAGATTTAATTAAATATATTTTACCTCCATTCCTTACCTTTTCTTAGGAATACAGTCAGTCCAGGGTTGCACTGAGTAGCCACAAGATACAAATTAGTGTAATAACTGCTTCCCTTTATTAAATAATAGGGATAGAATCTACAGTCAATCTGACTGTGTGTATATACGGCAGGGTTGCAAAATTACTCACACCCCACTCCTATAAATGATCTGGAGAAAGAAAATGAAAACAAAATACATGTAGTCCAACTTAGTTTACAATTAAGTCCAAATAATCATTTAAGTGGTCCCCTTAGTTTTTCACTGTATTTTATTCATATAATTGTAGAAGCTTCCACAAGCTTCTATTTCTTTGTACTCATTCATCTGGAAGCAGTATGGGGCTGCGGCAGTGGGCGAAGACAATCTCTATGGGATCCTCTGGTTTTTCTGGACAGTGAGGATATTCCTCATCTGCCTGTGCTCTGATTAAACTGCTTGTACTCGTACTGAACTTGTGGATCGGTGCACATATCTGATCTGGCCTTCCTTGTTCTGAGTTGGCTCTCATCATTACATTGCACCCACAGTGTCTCTGCCATGTCCTCCATCCTGCCCTTGACTTAGCAAGTCCCATGGTAGGCCTGCTGGTTCACACTGCAGCTACTTTCAACTATTCCTTTAGAAAGATCAGAGGCCTTCTGTGCCCTCAACACAAGCAAAGAGGAGTGCAGGCAAACCAAACACCTGTCCTTTTTCTTCACATAAGCTGTGTATATTACTCCTTGTATCTTTTTTTCCTTTTTTGCTGTCTTTTCTTAATACCTTTGGAACAAAAGATGACAACCTCGCCTTTACCTTATCCATGTGACAACATCCATGTTACAGTCTGGCCTCTTGGGGAAGTATTAATGGAAACCAGGATGTGGGAGAGTAAGATAGGCTTAGAGATGAGACTTTAAATTTGGAGTCATCTTAAAAATATTTCACCAAAAACATGTGTAATAAGGAATCATAACTCTAAAGAAAAATGTTTCAGTTCCAAGCCTTTGAATTTTAAATCATTGCCAAACTAGCAAGTTGGGAATGGTTATGTATCAAAAAGTTTGGACTAAAGTTTATCCCTCAATATAGTAGGGCACAGATGACTTCAAACACAATTTGAAGGACACAAGCTTAATTTTCAAAGTAACAGTAATGATGATATATTCATATGCCACAACAGACATAAAGAATAAATTTTGGGGCTGTGAATTCCTTCAGTGATTTTCAAAGTGTACCATATAGAAAACTGAACATTTAACTTAATCTGACCTATTTATTAGTTCTTTTTTTTTTTTTTCAAAATATCAGATTGCATAAAAATGTGATTTCAGGATGGAGATTGGAGCTCCAGGAAAGTGAACATTGCATTTCATTGTCTGCCAACAAACTTGTACAAGGAAGGCAATGGAGTATGATAGAAATAACACTGGTTGCAGAATTAGACAGCTTTTGATACAATTACCTGCATGCACTTGAATGAATTCATTTCTCTTTTGGAATGACATTTTCTCATTTGCATGAGATAGTTCAACCAGATGATGTTTCTTCTTTAAACCCCTATATTCTAATAATGCTTTTCAAAAGAAAACCATATTTTAACCTTTTTTTCAAGAATATAATCTTCATGAGACCATTACAAGTAGCTCATCATTATTGAATAGTGTACCATTACTATATAAATTAATAATAGAAATATATATATATAAAACACTTCTATTAAATAAAGGGAAGACATCATCTGAATTCTATCCATCATGGTTACTGAACATGATAAAGACCATTGAGCAATACAGTTCTTAGCATTTTATCAAACAAATTAAACTTTTGAAATTGAGAGGTCTTGGCATTATTGTTTTTAAGCCAGGCTGCAAAATAAATCTACCTTTGTGTATCTTGCACTGATTACGTCGTGGTTCTCTGCAAATGGGGCGTTGGTGCATGTAAACAAAATAGTTCCACTTAGCAGAGCACATAGCTCAGAGCCTTCTGTCCTGTTTTCAGTGACCTGGAATGTACAATGAGAGCAGGCAGTGTCAAATAAAGGGCTCGACTAGTATATTTGTGGGCAGATAGAACCTTCATTTTTACCATATATTTAAGATAAATTCACTTCCTTCTAGAAAACTATTATGGGGAAATAGAAGCATCAAGTTCTGTTTCATAAAGATTTCATTTGGGAGATTGTGAAAAAGAAGAGGGAAAATGGATTGGGAACATCTCCACCCCTGCTGTGAAATAATAATAAATTAAAGCCTTAAAAGGGGAAGAAAATCCTTCCAGTAGCTTATTAGAAAGAATTATATTCACAATCACACTACTTTGGTAAGCAATATTTTACTTATTTGATATACCTACAAATTGGTTTTCTGCAGCAAGCTCATTTAATCACTGACATTGATACGTTTAGTCTTCATAAGTAGAAAAACAAATATATAAACCCAAATGTATTAGACAGTTCTATTGCTTACTAAATAGATAATAAAGAAAAATCTTATTGTGACATGCTTATATGTTAAAAATAGATTTATGGTCATCATTTTAAGTGAAGTAACTTCTTTTATGTACACATCAAAGGTAAAATCCAACTATATATATATCCTTTTTTTAAGGAATTCATGAAGGCAGTTTAATGTTTCTTAATGGGAGAAAATTAAGCTGAATTGGAAACGTGTTCCTAAGTGTATTTGCAGAAGATAGGCTCACACTTCAGTTTTGTTTTGTCTTTGTTTTGTTTTATTTTTAATCTAAAGTTCTATTGTATTTCCTCAGGCAACATTAGGAGTATTAGAATATACTTATGTTAAGTGAAATATTCTAGGTTTAGGTAATTAATAAATGAATTTCGATTGTAAATGACTAAAAAATCCAGATGTCAATGGAATTAAGGATCTAGATGCATGTATCTGGGTTAGCATAGAAAATGAAGAAATCCCAAAGTTCTAAAGCCAATCAATTCTCCTAACTTTGATGTTTTAAATCTCATATTTTATACTTTAGTACATTTTAAGAAATTATGTAGCATTCATTTGTGCAAATGAAGAAGGCTTTACATATTTCATTTATATATACCAGCAAATTTCTGACACTTGAAATAAAATTGAATTTTTATATGCTACCATTTAAGGCACCCCTTTAAGAAGCTAGAATTCATTTCCCCTATTAACTACTTCATTGTTCATTTATTAAAATGTTATCTTTACTTTCGTAGTAATAAGTCGGGCCTTATTTTCTTTATCAGTAAATTGTATTTGCTTTAACAAAGGCAGCATTTCTTTTAAAAACAGTTTATGTTAGTTCCTACCAAGTGATCAATTTAATTCTCGTCATGTTATTAGGGCTTTTTGTTCCATATTTCTATTTTAGTAAATGTTAGTTTACACAGATAAAGCTTTATTAAATTAAGCTATATTTGTTTTCTCAAATGGAAATCTCGCTCTTCCTCAAAAATCTAGTGAGGATCATTTCCCTTCCCACTTTTACCCATCCAGGTATTTTTTCCGTTTAACATTAAATCTCTACAGGTATTTATCTATATTTTAAGTATACTTATAATTTCATCAAGGCAAGACTATTTAGCAAGTCAGTCAATGTAAGCGCAATGCTCATTTTAATCATATTAATTTGCCTCCTCAGAGAAAGAAGGTTAAGTTTCCATCTGTCTCTGTCAATTTTATTTCTTTCCAAGGAGACAACAAAGACATTTTTACCATATAGGTATAAAATGCATAGGTATGGTAACCCAGGTTCCCTCCCATGCCTACTCAGTTCCCTATTGAATGTTGCACCAACAAGTGGAAAGCTTAAGGAGGAATGACACTAGTGGGCTCAGCATCTTCACTCTCAGTCTCTATTTAAAAAGCAACAATCCCAAGCCAGAAAGCTTCAGTGAGTCCCTTGTCCTTCTCTACTGCTCCAGGACTCAGAGCTTCACTATTAGTGATGACCTGCCCTGTTGGGATATTGCACAGCCACTTCATGCATAAAATAAATTCCTTGGTACAGGCAAAATAATGTCTCATCAAACCCCCTCACTATAATTTCTGAAGAATGAAGACAAGAAATATTTGAGAAAGAAAATGTTTTATGTGAGATACAAAACATAGGTTTATAGATTTGACTAGCCATGAAAAAATAAAGATTTTGGAAGTGTTTTATATGGGCTTTGCTATAACATGTTAAATTACTAAAACTGTCCAAGAGTGACGTACTTTCTAACTTAAAAGATAATAGAATCCTGTGGCTACACAGACTCTCTGCCTAGTGCAGCAGGACACAATGGCATTGTCTTGCTTTGTGACAAGGAGAAAAAAACTCCCCTCTTTGACTGCTTTTCCTCAGTATTAACACTTATTTCTAACATTTTTTCACACAAACCCTGACCTCCATTTCACCCTTTTAAGTGATTCTCTTGATTATCACAGCTATATTTTCTGTAGTTTGACAGTCTGAAACATACTTTCTCTACCATTTATGTCTGCACAGAAACAGTCTGGTTCTCAGAGAATTCACAGAGTAGGAGTGGATGGAGAAAAATCACCATGCCTACTCTTGCCCTGGACGACACCTTTAACAGGCTTTAAATTATTTGGACAGGAAGCAAAACCATTCCCAGTCAAGTCAATGGTCTGCCGCTTGTTTGTAAAGCATTGGCTGCTACCAGCCTCCCAAAAACAACCCTTCAAGGAAGGAATTTATATAGTAAAAATGTGAGAGTCACAGAGGCTTGAAGTTTAGCTTAGAAATACTTTTAAAATAAAGCATGTCACCAGCAAGTTATTTTCAGAACTTTAACAAAGGATTCTAAAGTTTATATGGAGAGGCAAAAGATGAAGAATAGTCAACATAATATTGAAGAACAAAGCTGGAGTTCTGACTGGCATTAGCTGACTTCAAGACTTATATAAAGCTCCTAGTACCACATTTGGTATTAGTGAAAGGAAAGACAAATAGATCAATAGAATAGAATAAAGAGCCCAGAAATAGGCCCACATAAATACAGTCAATTGATGTTTGACAAAGGTACAAAGGCAACACGGTGGAGCAAAGATATCTTTTTAAATGATGCTGGAACAACCGGACATTCACATGCAAAAAAATAAATTTAAACATAGACCCTATGCACTTCACAAAAATTAACTAAAAATGGGTCATAGACCTAAATGTAAAACACAAAACTTATAGAAGATAATATAGGAAAAAAACCTACATAACCTTGGGAATGGCAATGACTTTTTAGATACAACACCAAAGTCATGATTCATGAAAGAAATAATTAATAAGCTGGACTTTGTTAGCATTAAAAGCCTCTGCTCTGTGAAAGACAATGTCAAGAAGAGAAGACAAACCACAGACTGAAAGAAAATATTTGCAAAACAAACATTGGATAAAGAACTGTTATCAAAAATCTACAAAGAAATCTCAAAATGCAACAATAAAAAAAAACAACCCATTTAAAAGTAGAGCAAAGACCTTAACAAACACCTCACTAAAGAAGATATACACATGACGAATAAGCATATGAAAAGATGCTTCAATCATACATCATCAAGGAAATGCAAATTAAATCAACAATGAGATACCACTGCACACCTATTAGAATGGCCAAAATTCAGAACACTTACCCAAATGCTGGTGAGGATGCAGAGCAACAGGAACCCTCATTCACTGCTGGTGGGAATGTAAAGTAGTACAGCCACTTCAGGAGATAGTTTGGTGGTTTATTATAAAACTAAGCATGCACTTATATGCAATCCAGCAATCATGCTCCTTGCTATTTACCCAAATGCATTGAAAACTCTTATCCACAAAGAGACTTGAACACAGATGCTTAGAGTAACTTTATTGATAATTGCGAAAACTTGGAAGCAACCAAGATGTCTTTCAGTAGGTGGATGGATAAATTAAATGTGATACATCCAGATAACAGAATATTATTCAGCACAAAAAAGAAATTAGGTATCAAGCCATGAAAGTGATACAGTAGTACTGGGAAGGGAAGGGCGTGGTCCCTTTAAACGATACAGAAGTGAGGAAGAGAAGTGCTGGGAAGGGGAGGGCGTGGACCCTGGCTAGGGCTCTACCCCACAGACTTAGGTGAGGACAGACACTTCTGCCCTCGCACTCAAATGCTGCATTTTCCAAGACCACCCTCACCACGCTCCCATACTGTGCCTATAAAAACCCGAGACCCTAGCAAGGCAGAGACAGAGGCAGCTGGACATGGAGGGGAACACATTAGCAGAGGAACACACAGGCGGCTGGACGTCGAGAGGATCACACCGACAGGTACCAGCTCCCCACAGGCCACTGACCAGCAGAACGACTCAGAGTTTGGCTGGGGCAGCTGAGGAGATCCCTGACCGCCTAGCTGCCCGACTCCAGGGGAAAACCAGTTCCCTTCTGGATCCCTCATCTGTTGAGAGCTACTTCCACTCAATAAAACCTTGCACTCATTCTCAAAGCCCACATGCGATCCGATTCTTCTGGTACACCAAAGCAAGAAACCCCAAGATACAGAAAGCCCTTTGTCCTTGCGACAAGGTAGGGGGTCTAATTGAGCTGGTTAACACAAGCTTCCTATAGACGGCGAACTAAAAGATCACCCTGTAACAAACGCCCACTGGGGCTTCAGCTGTAAACATTCACCTCTAGACACTGCCGTGGGGTCGGAGCGCCAAAGCCTGCCAGTCTGTATGCTCCCCTATGGGTTTGAGCAGCGGGGCACTGAAGAAGCAAGCCACACCCCCATCGCACACCCTGCAAGGGGACACAAGTGAACCTTTCCCGTTTCAAAAGGACATGGGGGAACCTTAATTGTGTATTATTATACGAAGTGAAAGAAGCCATTCCAAAAGGCTACATACAGTATGATTTCAACTGTACGACATTCTGGAAAAGGCAAAACTACGGAGACAATAAAAAGATCAGTGATTGTCAGGGGTTGGGGAGACAGCGATAAATAGGCAGAGCACAGAGGTTTTTAGGGCAGTGAAACTACTCTGTATAATAATATAATGGTGGATTTATGTCATTATACATTTGTCCAAATCCATAGAATGTATAATACCAAAGTGAACACTATGGTAGACTATGGACCTTGAGTGATTATGATGTGTTAATGTAGGTTTGTTATTTGTAACAAAAGTACTGCCTGGTGGAGGATATTGATAATCCAGGAGGCTATGTATGTATTGGGGTAGAGGGCCCAATACATGAGAAACTGAGGCCCAACATGTTTATATACCAGCATTGGTCACATTCTTAATGGGTAAAGCTGAATCCCATTTATTTCTATTCTAATCTCTGGGAAACACTCCTTTTCCACATATAATTACCTACTTGTACTTTTTATTGTAACTAGTACTCGCAGTGTTAAGTCAAGTGAATGATAAATACTAAATTTGTAATTAGAAAAATGAGTATCAGTAATGCTTCCTATAGGCCAGTTAGTGAGTGATAATTACACCGGCCAAACATACAGGGAGAAGGTGATTGGAGATTAAAGTAATAAATAAAAATATTTCTGTAGTGTTTTATATGCAACTCTTTCTCTTTAATTTAAAAATGTTTATAGTATCTTTTATAACAACTTGCTTTCTTTTTTTCTTCTTATTCTTCCTCTAAGTGTTGGTAATATGATTTTCCCACACTCTCTTTTTATAGTGCCACTGAAGTATAAAACCAATCAGAGATGAGAGAGCAGGGCTAGTAGGGTACAATTAAGTTTATGGCCTGAGTCACTTCTTTCTGAGGCTATAAGTTACATTCAAGTTTTAAGAGAAATCATAGGTACAGCCTGGTCACATGGGAACTGAGCACATTTAGGGAAATGTAATTAAATAGTGTGGATTTTACAAAATCCATTAAGTGTGTTTTTATAACATCTCTTCACCAATCCTCATTAAAAGGAATTTCAACAGGTACTGAGACATCATCCAAAACAATGTGCTGCAGAATCACAGATGGTCTACATAGCAGGGTAAACCTCAGGGACTTCAGGAAAAAGCATTCAGCAACCTAAAACTTCAGAGGCATCAACAATTCCTGTTGAAAAAATTTAGCAGGTTAAGGAATTTCCTCCTGAGTAGGGGCATTCATCTCCATCTAAGTCATTCAGTTTTTGTCTAGATTATTGTGCTTGGATGGGAAAAACATCACAAAATCACAGGTTCACCTTTCTACTACTCAGAGAAAGAATTTCAATTATCAGAGGAAAATACTAATAATTAGAGAAGCAACATAGAAAATGAAATTGCCAAGAGACCATAGTTGAGTTTATCAGACTAAAATGTTATGAACGTTATATTTTCAAAAACAAAGAACAAATCTTAATATTGAAGTTCCAGATTGAGTGGAAGATATCAGGACTCAGTTTCCTGAATTTTATGAGAGATCACTGAAACCTGATTTTGAATTGATATTCATCAGGCCTAATTTTGCCAGCTTTATAAGCCAAGACTGACTCTAAATTTTATAGTGCTCAGGGCCCTTTTTTCCATTCTTTTAAGTTCTTTTTTCAAAGTAGCGTATGCACATGGTTAAGCAGATCCCATGGTGCAGAAGATATTCTAATGAAGAATAAGTGTCTGCCATCCCTCTCCCATCCCCCTCAGTCCACCACTCCACATTGCTGCTTCTCTTGCTGCCAAGAAAAATAAAATCAAAACCAAAGTATCTCCTGCTTTTAACTCTTAATCCAGTTATTGCCAAGTCTTTACATATTAAACCTATAATTTTATTTATTGACATCAATTTAAGATTTTATCTATTAACTTAGCATTATGAAACTTGAAGATTTATTTTAATGAACTCCTCTCTACTTTTGAGTTCATAGAAGTAGAAAGTACAATTGCAGTCATTAGAGAATGGGAAAGGTAGGGAGAAGAGGAGGATAGGAAGATGTTGGCTAACAAAGTTACATTTAGATGGGAAGAAAAAGTTCTAGTGCTCTGGAGTACTGTAGGGTGAAAATGGTTAAGAATAATTTAGTGTATATTTTCAAAAAGCTAGAAAAAAATTGAGTGTTTATAGCACAAATAAATTATAAATGTTCCAGGTGATAGATATGCTAATGACCCTGATCTGATCATTACACATTGTATACATGTATCAAACGTCACTCTGTATCCCATAAATATCTACAATTATGATGTGTCAACTAAAAAAGGAACAAAATAAAATCCTCTTTATTTTAAAAGGTATTATTTAGTTTTTCATTTGTCTTCTGTCTATTTTTGTAATGTTAAAACTCTATTTCTTGTTCTATCAAACTTTAGAGAACATCTGTCCACCACTCCCCATTCCACCTATTTGATATTATTAGTTCCACCATGTTCCCACTACTTCCTACTTCTCCATTCATGTTCCCTGATTTCTGTCAGCTGTATCTTTGCTTCCACAGCTAAATGGCCAAAAATATTAATGTTCTGTTTTGTAAGTATATTTAAATTTGTTGCCAGTCTATTAAACTTTGACTCTGTTATGGCCTCCTCTTAATAAAGAGGGTGTTGTCAAACCCTCTGTAATAAAACAAGCAAAAACAGTGGTAACTTACCTTCTGAAAGTTTTAGGATATTTTTTAAGCTCGTAAGACTGTCCTTCTAGATAAATTATTAAGCTGAAGCTACTTAAGCCGATATTTTATTAGAGGGGTGGATGAATGATTTAGGCCTGTTATTGTTTTTATCAACTCTGGGAGAAATTTGTCAGATGCAACACAGGATTGTGTGTAGCTTTTATTGATCGTTTCGTGGCCTTTGACTCCAAGTCCGTGAATCAGTTACAGGTCTAACTAAATGAATTCAGTATAGGCCAGCAGCTTTTGATGTAACTTGCACTTAGAAACAGTCTCCTGGTGAGTCAGATAATAATTTCCAGCAGATAAAATAGAGATGTGTACTGACTTCCCTTCTCTTCAACTAGTTCTTTAATAACTCAATACTTCTTTAGTGTGAGCTTGGTGCAGGCACCTGCTGGTTCTCCAAGTAAAGAGACCAGGGAAACAATCACCTTCATGTGTGCTGGGAACATTGTTTTATTGTCACAAATTATCAGTATTTTTGCAGTGCTGTCTAATTAACATCAGATAGAATAGCTAAACATCAACTATTGCATGAAGAGTGTAATTAATTGTTTTTGGTAGTGAACATCTAGCCTCCATCTACTTTAGAGTGAACAGGCTTGTAGAGCTCCCTAAGTCTGCATGCACAGGAATTATTTGGAAAGCCTGTTAGGCATACAGTCTCCTGGAAGATCTTCAGTTAGTAGATGTGTGAGGTGGGGCCTGAGGATCTGTGATTTAGAAAATCTTCTCAAGTGATGCTAAGGCAAAGTCAGGTTTTAGAATTATTGTGTTAAGCAAGCCATCTTGCTTATTATTTACAGATACATTGTGCAATCAGTTTACTTATTTAAATGTAAACAATTTCTCAAATGATTTTTGAAGATTTGTTCCCAAGTCTATAGCAGGTGTTTAGTAGCACTTACTTAAATTTATTTTTTCTATTTTAGAATTATCATGGCCATGTTCTTGATATATCCTTTGGAAATTTGGTTATCCATCTGTTTATAAGTTGTAATGGATGCAAATTTCTTTTCGGAGGATATCTTGTCTTTGCTCATGGAATCATTTACACTCAAGTGAGCTTTCTGTTATGCCTCAGCTCATCTCCTTGAAGTGTCTTTTCAGGCACATATTTTTTATGAGTTAGGTTCTGTTAACCTAAATTCCTACCTAAAATTTTGATCACCAGTGCATATAAACCAACTTGTAACTGGCAATATAATATAATTACACTCCAGATACTTGTCAAATAATATAACCTTGAACTCTCTGTTGCCCAATCTCATTTAAAAATTGTGTTAAAATAAATAACACTTTTGAAAAACTATGTGAAATATATGCATTACAACCCATGACAAAATTTTTCCTTGGTTCAAGTCAGAACAAGAGAGAACTGAGTAGTGTTCTGCATTGTTTTGGCCCCTAATGTATTACTTTCATTAACATTGGACCACCAGCCTCCATCGAGAGAACAAAAATCTATATAAAATCCATAACAGTGATTACTATTAAGATCTTACCTATCTAGTGTTTAAATTAATGGAAAAATTTGAAAAGCACTGAATATCTATAACCTTCAAAAGATGGAGGAGGATATAGTGATATCTCTCAGTTTAGGAATGCGACTGTAAGTGTAGAAATTAATTGTTGACCCATATTTTGTCTTAAAAGCTCACCTATTATTTTCTGCTACTACATACATACATGTTTATTTTAATACAAATAAATGATTATAATTTTCCTCTAAATTTTCAAATAAATTTCAATTCCACAGAGATGTGTTGTGTTTATCCCATGGGTCTAAGTAGTAACAGGTACTTCGCATGACTATCAGAGGAAGCACACCCCAGTTATAAAACCAAAGTCAGTGTCCTCTTTTGAGAATTCAAAGGAAAAAAATTTTTCTAGTCCTAGAATGTTGGAAAGCTGGGCTTCTGATGAACAACTCTTTGATTTGTATCTTAAAGATACCATAAACATTGTAATTCATTCTGTTTCTACCTTTATCCTCTAGAAAGCTTCCAGTTATATTGCCAACCATCTTGAACATATGTTCAGAACAATTGGGCATGTGACTTTTAAAAATTCTAATCAAGTTATCTAGCTCCATTTTATTTTTGTGTCTTTTTATTCTTCTATAACAAATCTTGATCCATTTCATTGTTTAGAAAAACTCCTACCTTAAAATCCCAAATTCTAATAATTCATTTTCAGACTATAAGCTTCTGTATTTCCACTTCTTCCTTCACTTCATATTCTATGACATCTACTCTTTGTCCTCATGGAAATCTTCATTCTCTTTATTTGCTGCTTGATATACTCACTTCCCATTTTGTGAGATGGTATTAAGATCCGTCTGGTCACCCAAGCCTAAATCCTGGGAACTACCTTGAAAATCTCTTTACACAGTACCCTACCTCCAAATATTAATTTTTTTCATTTCCACTTTTTTAAAATTTTGAGAATTTGTGTTTTCCTTCTTTATTTCCATAGCCATCATCTTAATTCAGACAGTCAACATTTCTTGCCTCTACCTGATATTCCAATAGTCCCCTTAATGGTCTCCTTGCTTCAAGTCTTATTCCCCCAACCCCCAACCCCAAATTATTTCCCACACTGTTGCTAGAGTTATCTTTTCAAAATTTTAATCATTATACATCACATTATCTCATTCAGCTGCTTAGAGTTCTCCAGTGTCTTACCACTGTCTATAGAATAAGCACAAACTTAAGCATGGCACCCACAGTCCCTCATGACTGACTGATCCCCAGCTACCCTGTAGAATATTTCCTCTCAAGACTCCACAACATGCTCCACTTCAGCCTGGCTAAGTACTTCAATGCTCTAAGGGTACCATACTGCTCCCTAGCGCTGGGCTTTTGTACCCGGTATATCTTCTCTCTAGAATATTCTACCTAATTCTACCTCCCCAGTTTCACATAGCAAATTTTTTTTTGGGGAAATATTATTTATATTGATAAGACATACCATATTGACATTGATATCCCCCATACTTAATAAAATCTCTTCCCTCCTGTGTTAGCCTCTTCTCTCTCTTCTGTGCCCACGTTTCATTCATACAGGATCTCTGGTGCCTTGGCCTCTTCCTTTTCCATCTAGAGACTTCACATACATTGTTTTCTTTGAATGGGATGTTCTCCTGCCCTTCTTTTTACTTAAACTATTCACATTCATTTTTTCAGATATATGCCCAGGTCATGATAAGCAAAAGCCTCCATGTGACACAATCAAATGGAAATTTTTCTATCCTTATCATGACCTCTCAGCAATATTTAATCAGACATGGAATTCTATTATTTTTGAACACTTTCTTCTCTCATTTCTGCAGAAATAGACTCAATTTTCTTCCTACCTCATTAACTGACTGGCTTTTCTGATTCTTTGCTACCCAAAATCTACTGGTTGGATTTTCTCAGGACTAAGTCCTTGGGTCCATTTTCTTCTCTTGTTATGGTCTCTCTATAGCTCTATAGGATAGGTAATTTCAGCAGGTATTTTTTGTTTGTTTGTTTTGTTTTTGATTTTACACAGTCTTACTCTGTCGCCCAGGGTGGAGTGCAGTGGTGCATGTGATCTCACCTCACTGCAAGCTCCGCCTCATGGATTCAAGTGGTTCCCGTGCCTCAGCCACCAAATAGCTAGGATTACAGGCACGAGCCAACATGCCCAGCTAATTTTTGTATTTTTAGTAGAGACGGGGTTTTGCCATGTTGGCCAGGCTGGTCTCGAACTCCTGGCCTCAAGTGATCATCAGTTTTTTGACTTAAAATACCAGATGAGGCTCTTCTAAAAGCCAGAGTTGTAAATACAATATCTTACATGAGGTCTCACTCGGATGTGTCAGAGACATCTCAAACTTAACATATTCTAAAAAGTTTTATTGTATTTCTCTCTGCCAGAAACCTGATATCCCCCAGTCTTTTTTAGTTCAGCAAATGACACCACCATCTAATGTGTTACTAAAGCAGGAGGCTTGGACTGCCGTTCCTCTTTTCTCCAACTCCTTCACTGTGATCTTTTCTTCTGATTGTTTTCACATCATCTGTACTGGCCTCCCAGTTCTGCTCTTGGCTCCCTCCTATACATTCTCCAGGTAGAAACCAAATGACTTTGTTAAAATCTAAATCATATTATGCCACTCCTCTTAAAACCTATCGATAATTTCCTAATTGGAGTAAAACAGTCACTCTTGCCATGACCCACATAGGGGCACAAGTCCAACTTCATCTAATGGAACTCTCTTGTCGCTTGCTCACCTGACTGATAATGCCAGCATACTCAGGCCAACTCTCCCCTGCTGCAGGGCCTTTGCCCTTGCCACTTGTATTGCCAGAAACTCACCTTCTCTAAATCCAAAAATGATTAGGTTCTTATTCTTGGGTTCTCAGCTTAGATTTTGTTGTTTAGAGAGTACTCCCCAGAACAACCCTGGCAGGTCCTCTGTTTTCCTTATGTTTTGTTTATTCACTACCTATTACTTCTTATAGTTCATGACTTAAAGTTTATTTATGTGTTCTGACATTCCAATGAAACTTAAGTCTTCACAAGGGCAAAGATTATGTCTTCTGTTTAATGTTTCATCTCCAATTCTAGCATGGTGCCAGAGTAGGTACTTAATAAGTACTTGTTTAATGAATGACTCTCTCGGTTTAAAAATCATGGGAAGCCTGTGGTCCTTCAGACTAGCATGGTTAACTCATTATATGGCCCTGTAACTCTTTATACTTCTCTTTTATTATACTTTGCCCATTTATAATTACTGTATGTTTCCAGTGTTAGATAGTAATGACATGAGACCTTATATGTTTGGGTTCTTTTCATCATGGTATCCCCAGCACTTTGCATAGTGGCTGCAATGTGGCAAGTGCTTCACAAATATTTAGGTGGTAAACGAATATCTGCAGAAGATTACTAATTTCTTTGTTTACCGAATGCATTGATTAAATCAAAATTGCTAAAGGTAACTTAAGAGACTTAAAGGGCAGAAATGAGTTGTAATAACAACATAAGAGGAGATCTCATATTGAGTTGGAGCTTAGAGAGGATTGTGATTTGATCGTTGCAATCTGAATAATGTTATGTCTGTAAAAGGAGACAAAACTATATGAAATTAAAAAAACTATTTAATAATTTGCTACAAGAAGAGCATTGGTTCAGATAGAGTATGAAGTAAAGCAGAAAACCCCTGATGAAACAAAAACTTATTTATCAGTAGTAAGTCCAAAGAACATAGGCAAAGCTTAGCTACATGGAAAATCATGCCCTTCGAAAGACAGAATATTGAATCTAAGCCATCATAAAGAATAGAAAATACAGAAAGATAAATAAAAAATTATTACAGCAAAGATAACAACATGAAAACACAAAATTCTAGATGAAATTCCAAAGTGTGTTCTGCTGCTGAAATGATGTGGGAAATAGGGGCTGGGAAACAGGTCTCAGATGAAATAAGCATAGACTAAACAAAACCATAGTTGTGCCTTTCTTGAGACTTTCTCAAAGTCTTTAATATCCTACACTGCTTTGGGGCCCATCAAGGGAAGTACACGGAATGGATTTTTTTTCCTAAATTTATTTGACCAGGAAATAATTTTTGCACAAGACACGTAGGGATTGATCTGGGAATAATTAGTCTTGGTCCTGAAAGTGCCCTTCCGTTAGCAGAGATTTAGTTCAATGTTGTTAGATGTAAACTCTAATGGTCATTCCTAGATTATTAATAGGGGGCTTTAGGCAATTATATGCATGTATCTCCTATAATTACTCAAGGACAGATCCTAAAATCCTCTACTATATGTGAAGACAATGGAAATTATTCTACAAGGGGTAGAAAGGAAAGAATGGATTGTTGAGAAGTAAGGAGAAAGTTAGAATTATGAAAACAGTGCACAGACATTGTTTAAATGGAAAAAAAAAAGAGCAAAGTCATAGTAATCTTTGTCCAATCCTTGACAGGGCCTAATTCATACATTTCAAAGTCATTAAATGGGTCAATGTAAGGTAAGATAATGGAGACTTATGATCTACTGACCTTATTACATCGTTAAAAAAATCAAATGTTGGCCTGAAAAGAGCAAATTCCTTCCTAGTAATTCACATACCCAGAAATCTGGAGCTTACTGGAATTCTTAATAAAAATTACAAATCTCCCTGTAATAAATTTCAATTGCCAGTTCTTGATAACTTTAAGTACAGTTTGCCATTGAACTTGCCCATTATTAACTATTGCTTACTTTTCACTGTTTTGCTTTTTAATCATAGAACAACTTTTACTTTCTTTTTTCTAGGTGACTTCCAGGTGTGGCATAGAACCTTTTGTTCTGTTTGACCATGGTCTCTCAGGAAGTTGATTTTCATTTTTGGCATAAACTGCCCTTACGGTGCTTTTAATTGTTGCTTATTTAAACAGAGAGTACTTCATTGTGGGACTTCCTCAGACAGAGACCCAACTCTTACTAATGCGCAAACCCTTCTGAAGGTGAAATACTCTTCTAATCTAAAACCACACTGCAAACAGCCTTTTCCTGTGCGCATTTCACTGTTTTTTTTTCAAAGGCATAAGAAAGAATAAAAAAGGATAATTTTTGTTCTTTTCTTCATGTAGCTGTAGTTTTTAAAGATAACAACTTTTTTTTCTAGATAAAATGATGCCTGCTTATCTTAAAAATAAATGCAACAATTTCAAGAGGCACAAAGAAGAGATAACTCATCCAAAATCCCACCACACTGTTTCCCTTTGTTTATACACCAGTGTTATATTTGGGAAACATTTTCCAATCTCTATGTGTATAAACAGAGGAAAAGAGAAAGTGAGCCAGATATAATTATTTAAGAATTGGATGATAGAATACATGCTTTTTTAAAGATAAAAAATATTAAATTTAATTTTTTTGAATCTAACAGAAAAAAAAACAAGTGAAACTGAAGGAATTATTAACCTTGAAATAAATGTTTCCTTACCAAATGATTATTATTTATAAAAAGAAAAAACTTTCAAAGGACTATAGTTAATAATAATGTATGGTATTCTTAAAAATTGCTGAGAATAGATTTTAAGTGTTCTCACCACAAAAAAAATAAAAAGTATGTGAGGTAATACCTATGTTAATTGGCTCAATTTAGCCATTCCACAATATGCGCACATTTCAAAACAAGTTGTACATAAAGTATATAATTTTTGTCAAAAAATAAATTTTAAAAAACCTTCTAAGATTAAGGAAGAAAACCAAAGCATGGAGCTCATAAAAATCCATATCTATACTTAGTAAGGATGGACCAATAGGTCTTCTTGGAAGACAAAGGGGTGAACTCTTAGAATTTCTTCCTTCTCCTCCTCCTTTGTCATGAACACTGCTGTTCGTGTCATATTTACTGTATCACTGTCTTAAATGACAACTGGGCTGGATACATACTTTTGTGTCATACTTTCTCTCAGAATATGTAGACTTTGCTCCATTATCGTCTGAGAATAAACTTCAGAAAAAAATTCTTAGGCCACACTCCTTTTGTTTCCTGTAGAAAACTTGTTTTATTCTCTCAGGTGCCCTGGAGAACTCTTTATTTATCTTTGAAGTTGAACTACCTAACCAATGTGTATTTGCTGTTGATTTTTCTCTGTCAGCTTTTCTCAAAAATATGAAGATTTCACCCATGGAAATATTCTGTATCATATCTTTAAGTGCATTTTTAGTTCAATTTGTTGAGTTTTCTACTTCAAATCACAATTATCTTTACATTCTATTGCTTTTGTCATCAAGTCTGTCATTGTTTCTTTGATTGCTTTCTTTTCTTTCTTCTTTATTTACTGTGGTTATTGCAAGTCATTAATTCAAAAACTAGATAAGTCTATTTTGCCCCTTATAGGCTCTAACTAATATATTAGTTCTGTAATGATAGGTTTGGATTGTTCATTTGCAGTGGTTCTTAATCTGTTTCCTTTGGTCTGTAGCTTCCTTGTCTAGTCCTTTCTGTTGCTTTATCTTCTTGCTTTTGAACTCTTAGATCCTAACTAAGATTTTCTATGACATAAGGCATTCATGAGGAATTCGCTTTAGTTTCTTGGGTTATGTTTCCTTCCATGCTAGGTCTTGCCCGAGCACATTCATAATATGTTACTTTCTTTTATCCTTCCTTCCTCCTTCCTCCCTTTTTCCTTTCCTTCCTCCCCTCCTTTTTTCTTTTCCTCTAGTATATTAGCACTGTTGCAATAAAATTTCTTCTTCGTCATAATTAATCAGCATAGCTCTTTTTTTATTTATTCTGCTACAGGGTGGTATATTATCTTTGATGTCCTTATCAGGTACCAGTTTTTCTACCCTCTTCTGGGCTATGGTTTGAAGGACGAGATTTGTTGTTAATTCAATTTTTTTAAGTATTAAGGGTTGGATGGGGAGAGACAGTAGTTCTTGGAGATGAAAATGACCCTTTCTGAGTGATCTGAGTTGAACTCTGTATTAGCTGTCCTCTGCAAAGTCCTACTCCACCTAACCATTATGTCCCATTTTCTAGGTTTTAGATTGTTACCTAACTCTGGACAGTGCCCTGGGAGATAGTAGCCCCCAGCTGCCTTACTGCCTCTCTCAGGTCCCATACCTACCTGGAGAGGTTTATACCTTGTAGGGTTTCCTCTGACTTTTTTCAGTCCTGCTTCTTTAGTTCTTTAGTTACTTTCTCCTTAAACTAAAGAATATCAGTGACACATCTCAACAATTTTTAGATTCAACTTTTTCTCTCATATTTACCTTCTGGGTAGGGCCAACATATTAGAGGGTTCCAAACTATAATTTTCTGTTTCTTCCATTAACCACCACTTTTTGAATGTATAATGGTTTTCTTCCTTTTTATGGTTGTTGCTAATGAGTTTTTACTAATTTTAAAATTTTAATTATTACTGTTCATTTTATAAGTTACTGGTAAGGGAAATTCTTTGGCATATTTTTACTTCCCCATATCTACCTCTTTCCCATATCTTTAAAACCTGAAATAAATCCCAGAATCATTACCACTCAATCATACAAAGTTTTCTTAACAGCCAGTGTTCTCCATTTTTCCCTTTGATTTCAAATGGCATTCATTATAGAGTTTTATAATTTCTTCCAACACTAGACTTTTAAGGGGTCAAACCATATTCTTATTCTAAATGGTCTCAACATATTTAGACACAATAGGGAACAGACTAATTTTATAATTAACTTTTTGTTTTAGAGTAGAATAGAATTTTAACACAAAAATTGCAATGATAGTACAGAGAATACCCATATATTACTAATGGGGTTTCCTCTATTATTAAAATATTACATTGGTGCTACATTTTTCCAAAATTAAAAACACAAGCATTGGTATATTGCTGTTTACTAAACTCCAAACTTTGTTTAAGATTCACTCATTTTCCCACAAATGTCCTTTTTCTTCTTTCTGGATACCATCCAGGATATCATATTTAGTAGTTATGTCTACTTAGTTACCTCTAGTCAATAGTTTCTCAGACTTTCCTTGTTTTTGATGACCTTGATATTTTGAGGAGTACTGGTAAGATAGTTTATAAATGTTCCTTAATTTTGGTTTGTCTGATGGTTTTCTAGCGGCTAGATTTAAATTAGGAATTTATAGGACCTAATACCACAGAATTGAAATGTTTTTCTCATCATATTATATTGGGGGTGCTGTTACGGGCTGAACTGCATCCCCCAAAATTAGTATGTTGAAGTCTTAATCCCAAGCACATCACAAAATGACTATGTTTGGAGAGAGGGCCTTGAAAGTGATAACTAAGGTGAAATGAAGTCCTATAAGTAGGCCCTAATCCAATCTAACTGATGTTCTTATAAGAAGAGAAGATTAGAACATAGACAACCCTGACTGAGGACATAGAAAGGCGGCGGCCACTTGCAAACCAAGGAAGGAGGCCTCTGAAAAGTTCAAACCTTTCAGGACCTTGATCATGGACTTCTAGCCTCCAGAACTGTGAAAAAATTAATCCATGTTCTTTTTTTATGCTTTAAGTTCTGGGATACATGTGCAGAACATGCAAATTTGTTACATAGGTATACATGTGCCATGGTGGTTTGCTGCACTCATCAAGCTGTCATCTACATTAGGTATTTCTCCTAATGCTATCTCTCCCCTTGGCTCCCACCCCTCAACAGGCCCCAGTGTGTGATGTTCTCCTCCCTGTGATATGTTCTCATTGTTCAACTCCCACTTATGTGTGAGAACATGCGGTGTTTGGTTTTCTGTTCCTGTGTTAGTTTGCTGAGAATGATGGTATCCAGCTTCATCCATGCCCCTACAAAGGACATGAACTCATTCTTTTTTATGACTGCATAGTAATCCATGGTGTATATGTGCCACATTTTCTTTATCCAGTCTATCACTGATGGGCATTTAGGTTGGTTCCAAGTCTTTGCTATTGTGCATAGTGCTGCAATAAACATACGTGTGCATGTGTCTTTATACTAGAATGATTTATAATCCTTTAGGTATATACCCAGTAATGGGACTGTTGAGTGAAATGGCATTTCTAGTTCTATATGCTTGAGGAATTGCCACACTATCTTCCACCATGGTTGAACTAATTTACACTCCCACCAACAGTATAAAAGCATTCCTATTTCCCCACACCCTCTCCAGCATCTGTTGTTTCCTGACTTTTTAATGATTGCCATTCTAACTGGCGTGAGATGGTATTTCATTGTGGTTTTGATTTGCATTTCCCTAATGTCCAGTGATGAGCTTTTTTTCACATGTTTGTTGGCCACATATATGTCTTCTTTTGAGAAGTGTCTGTTCATGTCCTTTAACCACTTTTTGATGGGGTTGTCTGTTTTTTTCGTCTTGTAAATTTGTTTAAGTTCCTTATAAATCCTAGATATTAGCCCTTTGTCAGATGGATAGATTGCAAAAATTTTCTCCCATTCTGTAGGTTGCCTGTTCACTCTGATGATAGTTTCTTTTGCTGTGCAGAAGCTCTTTAGTTTAATTAGATCCCATTTGTCAATTTTGGCTTTTGTTGCAATTGCTTTTGGTGTTTTAGTCATGAAGTCTTTGCCCATGCCTATATCTTGAATGGTATTGCCTAGGTTTTCTTCTAGGGTTTTCATGGTCTCAGGTCCTACGTTTAAGCCTTTAATCCATCTTGAGTTAATTTTTGTATAAGGTGTAAGGAAGGGCTCCAGTTTCAGTTTTCTGCATATGGCTAGCCAGTTTTCCCAACACCATTTCTTAAAAAATCCTTTCCCCATTGCTTGTTTTTGTCAGGTTTGTCAAAGATCACATGGTTGTGGACATGTGGTGTAGACTTTGTAGTATAGTTTGAAGTCAGGCAGTATGATCCCTCAGCTTTATTCTTTTTGCTTAGGATTGTCTTGGCTATACAGGCTCTTTTCTTGGTTCCATATGAAATTTAAAGTACTTTTTTCTAATTCTGTGAAGAAAGTCAATGGTAGCTTGATGGTAATAGCATTGAATCTATAAATTACTTTGGGCAGTATGGCCATTTTCATGATATCAAGTCTTCCTATTCAAGAGCATGGAATGTTTTTCCATTTGTTTCTGTCCTCTCTTATTTCCTTGAGCAGTGGTTGGTAGTTCTGCTTGAAGAGGTCCTTCACATCCTTTGTAAGCTGTATTCCTAGGTATTTTATTCTCTTTGTAGCAATTGTGAATGGGAGTTCACTCATGATTTGGCTCTCTGTTTGTCTATTATTGGTGTATAAGAATGCTTGTGATTTTTGCACATTGATTTTGTATCCTGAGACTTTGCTGAAATTGCTTATCAGCTTAAGGAGTTTTTGGACTGAGACGATGGAGTTTTCTAAATATATAATCGTCATCTGCACAGACAGTTTGACTTCCTATCTTCCTATTTGAATACTCTTTCTTTCTCTTGCCTGATTGCCCTGGCCAGAACTTCCAATACTATGTTGAATAGGAGTAGTGAGAGAGGGCATCCTTGTCCTCTGCCAGTTTTCACAGGGAATGCTTCCAGCTTTTGCCCATCCTGTGTGATAGTGGCTGTGGGTTTCTCATAAATAGCTCTCATTATTTTGAGATACGCTCCATTAATACCTAGTTTTTTGACTGTTTTTAGCATGAAGGAGTGCTGAATTTTATCAAAGGTCTTTTCTGCATCTATTGAGATAATCATGTGGTTTTTGTCGTTGGTTCTGTTTATGTGATGGATTACATTTATTGATTTGAATATGTTGAACCAGTCTTGCATCCCAGGGATGAAGCCAACTTGATTGTGGTGGATAAGCTTTTTAATGTGCTGCTGGATTCGGTTTGCCAGTATTTTATTGAGGATTTTCACATAAATGTTCATCAGGGATATTGGCCTGAAATTTTCTTTTTTGTGTTTCTCTGCCAGGTTTTGGTATTAGGATGATGCTGGCCTCATAAAATGAGTTAGGGAGGAATCCCCTTTTTTCTATTGTTTGGAATAGTTTCAGAAGGAATAGTATCAGTTCCTCTTTGTACCTCTCATAGAATTCGGCTGTGAATCTGTCTGGTCCTGGGCTTTTTTTGATTAGTAGGAAATTAATTACTGCCTCAATTTCAGAATTTGTTATTGGTCTATTCAGGGATATGACTTCTTCCTGGTTTAGTCTTGGGAGGGTGTATGTGTCTAGGAATATATCCATTTCTTCTAGATTTTCTAGTTTATTTGCATAGAGATGTTTATAGTATTCTCTCATGGTAGTCTGTATTTCTGTGGGATCAGTGGTGATATTCCCTTTATCACTTTTATCGTGTCTGTTTTATTCTTCTGTCTTTTCTTCTTTATTAGTTAGGCTAGCAGTCTATCTATTTTGTTAATCTTTTCAAAAAACCAGCTCTTGGATTCATTGATCTTTTTGAAGGTTTTTTTTTGCGTCTTGATCTCCTTCAGTTCTGCTCTGATCTTAGTTATTTCTTGTCTTCTGCTAGCCTTTGAATTTGTTTGCTCTTGCTTCTCTAGTTCTTTTAATTGTGATGTTAGAGTTTCGATTTTAGATCTTTCCCACTTCCTCTTGTGGGCATTTTGTGCTATAAATTTCCCTCTAAACACTGCTTTAGCTGTGTCTCAGAGATTCTAGTATGTTGTGTCTTTGTTCTCTTTGGTTTCAAAGAACTTATTTATTTCTGCCTTAATTTTGTTATTTACCCAGTAGTGAATCAGGAGCAGGTTGCTCAGCTTCCATGTAGTTGTGCAGTTTTGAGTGAGTTTCTTAATTCTGAGTTCTAATTTGATTGCACTGTGATCTGAGAGATGTTTTGTTATGATTTCCTTTCTTTTGCATTTGCTAAGGAGTGTTTTACTTCCAATTATGTGGCCAAATTTAGAATAAGTTCTATGTGGTGCTGAGAAGAATAGGTGGAGAGTTCTGTTGATGTCTATTAGTTTTGCTTGGTCCAGAGCTGAGTACAAGTCCTGAATATCCTTGTTAATTTTCAGTCTCGTTGGTCTGTCTAATATTGACAGTGGGGTGTTAAAGTCTCTCACTATTATTGTGTTGGAGTCTAAGGCTCTTTGTAGGTCTCTAAGAACTTGCTTTCTGAATGTGGGTACTCCTGTGTTGGTTGCATATATATTTAGTGTAGTTAGCGCTTCTTGTTGCATTGATCTTTTTACCATTATGTAATGCCCTTCTTTTTTTTTTTTTAATCTTTTTTGGTTTAAAATCTGTTTTATCAGAGACTAGGATAGCAACCCCTGCTTTTTTGCTTTCCATTTGCTTGGTAAATATTCCTCCATCCCTTTATTTTGAGCCTATGTGTGTCTTTGCATGTGAGATGGGTCTCCTGAATACAACACACCAATGGGTCTTGACTATTTATCCAATTTGCCACACTGTGTCTTTTAATTGGGACATTCAGCCCATTTATATTTAAGGTTAATATTGTCATGTGTGAATTTGATCCTGTCATTATGATGCTAGTTGGTTATTTTGCCCATTAGTTGATGCAGTTTCTTCATAGTGTCAATGGTCTTTACATCTTGGTTTGTTTTTGCAGTGGCTGGTGCCGGTTTTTCCTTTCCATATTTAGTGCTTCATTCAGGAGCTCTTCTAAGGCAGGCCTGGTGGTGACAAATCCCTTAGCATTTGTTTGTTTGTAATGGATTTTATTTCTCCTTCACTCATGAAGCTTAGTTTGGCTAGATATGAAATTCTGGTTTGAAAATTCTTTAAGAATATTGAATATTGGCACCCACTTTCTTCTGGCTTGCAGGGTTTCTGCAGAGAGATCTGCTGTTAGTCTGATGGGCTTCCCTTTGGGTAACCCAATCTTTCTCTCTGGCTGCCCTTAACATTTTTTCCCTCATTTCAACCTTGGTGAATCTGATGATTCTGTGTCTTAGGGTTGCTCTTCTCAAGGAGTATCATTGTGGTGGTGTCTGTATTTCCTGAATTTGAATGTTGGCCTGTTTTTCTTGGTTGGGGAAGTTCTCCTGGAAAATAACCTGAAGTGTGTTTTCCAACTTGGTTCCATTAACCTTGTCACTTTCCAGTACACCAATCCAACATAGTTTCGGTCTTTTCACATAGTCCCATATTTCTTGGAGGCTTTGTCCATTTCTTTTCATTCTTTTTTCTCTAAATTTTGTCTTTGTGCTTTATATCATTAAGTTGATCTTCAATCTCTGATATCCTTTATTCTGCTTGATCGATTCAGCTATTGATAATTGTGTATGCTTCATGAAGTTCTCGTGCTGTGTTTTTCAGCTTCATCAGGTCATTTATGTTCTTCTCTAGTTATTCTAGTTAGCAGTTCCTGTAACCTTTTATCAATGTTGTTAACTTCCTTGCATTGGGTTAGAACATGGTCTTTTAGCTCAGAGGAGTTTGTTATTACCCACCTTCTGAAGCCTACTTCTGTCAATTTGTCAAACTCATTCTCTGTCCAGTTTTGTTCCCTTGCTGGCAAGGAGTTGTGACCCTTTAGAGGAGAAGAGGCATTCTGGTTTTTGGAATTTTCAGCCTTTTTGCACTGGTTTTTCCTCATCTCCATGGATTTATCTACCTTTGGTCTTTGATGTTGGTGACCTTCAGATGGGGTTTTTGCATGGGCATTCTTTTTGTTGATGTGGATGCCATTGCTTTCTGTTAGTTTTCCTTCTAAAAATCAGTCCCCTCTTCTGCAGGTCTGCTGGAGTTTGCTGGAGGTCCACTCCAGACCCTGTTTGCCTGGGTATGACCAGAGGAGGCTGCAGAACAGCAAATATTACTGCCTGCTCTTTCCTCTGGAAGCTTTGTCCCAATGGGGCACCCACCAGATGCCAGCTGGAGCTCTCCTGCATGAGGTGTCTGTTGATCCTTGCTGGGAGGTTTCTCCCCATCAGAAGGCTCGGAGGTCAGGGACCCATTTGAGGAGGCTATCTGTCCCTTAGCAGAGCTCAAGTGCTGTGCTGGGAGATCTGCTGCTGTCTTCAGAGCCAGCAGGCAGGAACATTTAAGTCTGCTGAAGCTGCGTCCACAGTCACCCGTTTCTCCATGTGCTCTGTCCCAGGGAGGTGGAGTTTGATCTATAAGCCCCTGACTGGGGCTGCTGCCTTTCTTTCAGAGATGCCTTGCCCAGAGAGGGAGCCTGGCTACAGTGGCTTTGCCATGCTGTGGTGGGTTCAGCACCCAGTTTGAACATTGAGCCACTTTGTTTACACTGTGAAGGGAAAACTGCCTACTCAAGCCTCAGTAATGGCAGATGTTCTTCCCCCCACCAAGCTCTAGCATCCCAGATCAACTTCAGACTACTGTGCTGGCAGCAAGAATTTCAGGCCAGTGGATCTTAGCTTGTTGGGCTCTGTGGGGTGGGATCTGCTGAGTGAGACCACTCAGCTCCCTGGCTTCAGCCCCCTTTCCAGGGGAGTGAATGGTTCTGTCTCGCTGGTGTTCCAAGCGCCACTGGGTTACAGAAAAAAAATGCTACAGCTAGCTAGGTGTCTGCCCAAATGGTCGCCCAGTTTTGTTCTTGAAACTCAGGGACCTCGTAGTGTAGGCACTTGAGGGAATTTCCTGGTCTGCTGGTTGCCAAGACCATGCGAAATTGTAGTATCTTGGCCGGATAGCACCATCTCTCACGGCACAGTCCCTCACAGCTTCCCTTGGCTAGAGGAAGGAGTTCCCTGAACCCTTGAACTTCCTAGGTAAGGCAATGCCCCACCCTGCTTCTGCTCACCCTAGGCCTTAACAAGTCCCAATGAGATGAACCAGGTACCTCAGTTGGAAATGCAGAAATCATCTGCCTTCTGCGTTGGTCTCACTGGGAGCTGCAGACTGGAGTTGTTCCTATTCAGCCATCTTGCTCTGTAATCTAGGCTGTGATATTTTGTTACGGCAGGCCTGGCAGTCTAATACAGGTCCACACTATCAACATGACTTACTACTGGTGGTATTATCCATGATCTAGTCCAGGTAGTTCTTGCCAGGTTTCTCCATTTTGAGTTACTTTTATTCTCCCTTTTCAGGCTCTATACTTTTGAAGCAAGTTGCTAAGTGCACCCCACATAGGAGAGGTCTGGGGGATGGGTTGTATAAGTGTTTGGCTCCACTTCCTGAATAGAAAGTATTCACATACATCATTTGGAACTTTTCTGTAAGAAAGATTTGTCTCTTCTCCCTATTTATTTATTTATTCAATGGCCTGTTTATATCAATATGGGCTCACATACATTTATTTTATACTGTGGGTTATAACCCGATACTAATGTATTTATTTTGTTGGTTAAATTTTTCTGCCTTTGACCTTTGGGAGTTCTTTCAGTTGTCTCTAATATCCCTTTGACATGCATCTATTATTGTGTTCTTAATTTTTTAACACTTCCTATTTTCTGTCATTATAAGATGTGCCAGGGTCATCTAGTATTTTTCCTGGCCAAGCCCTAGGATTATCCATATCTCCAAGGAGCCCTGCTTCATCTTACTGGAGAAACCAAGATCTGGGCGTTGGTTGGAAAAAATTTTAAATACAGTTTCATAAAGTTTTTCTAAAGTGTTCTCCCTTACCAATTACAATTTCTTGGTTGTATTTTCCCTCAATCATTGAAGGAAATGATACTTTTCTCTCCTTAATATAAAGACATACTTCCTTGGTATTTTCTGTCTTTCTTATTCACTGGAACAGAGTTTCCCATCAAGTGTGTGTTCTGTGAGCATAAGTTCTGTGAGAGGCTCTGTGGGGACAAAGTTTAACTTCATAATCAAATAATTTGGAAAGCATAGGGTAAGTATAGCCTCTGGAAAATCATATTTTACGTTGACAAATGATAAAAAGCTTTATTTTTATCTTTTCACAGTAAAAAGTTAACTTAGTTTAACACATTTTTTTTTTCCAAAGTCTCTTGGCTATAGATATTATCATTTTTGGAATGTGTACTGACATCTTCCAGAACTTGTATTCCTTGGAATTCACTTGGGTCAAGGCAAACATAATACCTTGATTTGGAAACCACTTGCAGCTATACTGTACAGCAGCTGAGAGAAGTATTTTCTTTTACATGCACTAAGGCTAGAATGAAAATAGTTATTTTGAGGTGCCCTGTGGTTGAATGGTCTTTTCCACAGAGTGTTGGATCTTTTTCTTTCATCTCCTTGAGCACCAATCCTTCTAGCTTTGCCAAACTCAGACTCATTATGAGTACCCATGATGCAATTAAAATGCAGTTTTAAATTAAAATGGTACTTTAACGGATAATGGTACAGGTACCTTATCCAATAGTGTTGCTCATGGAGTTGAGAATAATTTTTTCATCTGTCTCACTAGCAGTTAAACCAGACCATTTATCCACAACTATGACAGCATAATTTCCAGGTCCTATTTTACTCATGAATTGCTGGAAGATGTGTTCCAAAAGAGAGTGTATCCTAGCAATTAAATAAATGATAGATTGTTTCTGTGAATTTACTGAAATTAGGGATAATAAATTCAGCAAAGCTTTTATCAACAAAATGTAACTGATTAGAACAATCAATTACCTAGATTTTTTTCCTTCTGAAATTATACTTAGGGGAATCAGAGACCGAATATAACAAAATAAATTGATATCAGGAAAATCAACTTCAGAAAATTAATGTTCAGTTCAGGTACACCCAAATTTTTAATATTTTTTACCTGTAGAACGGTGGCATAAAACTAGAATAGAATCATTTTTATTAATGATAATGTAATATAAAAACAGCATTTCTTAAATACTTGCTATAAGTCAAGTACTATTCTGAGTACTCTACATATATTTAATTCTCACAATGAATATATGAGGTATATGCTATTACATTTATTGAACACAATGAGAAACTAAAGGTTAGAGATATAAGGTAACTTGCCCAAGGTCACATACTTTATAAGTAGTAAAGACTAGAATTTTAATCCAGGCATCCTGACATGAAGATGCATGACCCATTTAGAACTAGTATTAGTTCATATTGTTAAGTCAATAGGAACAACTGGATTAATTATACAATACTTTCATACGACTGGTAGGTTCTTGAAATCAAGCATGCATAATTTCTAATTTTTATGCACAGACCAGATCCCAGGAATTGACATTTTTAACAAGCACAACCCCTCTTCCTCACTCTCAGTATTTTATTGCAGGTAGTTCACAGTCAGTACTTTGAGAAACACTTGTAAAGTAATGTAAGTTCTGAGAGATTGAAGAACACAGAAGGCAAATATTTTAAGAATTTGAAAGCTCTAATTAAAATGTTTACACTTTGCAGTCTCACTTTATCTGCTCTTTTAAATATTACTTCCCTCCTTCTATAATATCATAGATATATATTAAGTGCTTAATTTGTGTCTCATACTCTTATAGCTAGAGACATCTTTATAAGTGCATAAAGTTTAAAATAATAATTTATATTAGGCTACATTAAGTCAAGTATGCATAGTTAAGTTCCTAGGGTAATCACTGAAGGAATAGTTTCAAAATGCTAATGGAGAGAAAATATGAATAGTAAAATAGTTATTTGACCTAAAGATAGCAAGAAAAGATAGTAACGAGAATATAAAATAGATGGATGAAATAGAAAATAACTATATCTATAATAACATTAAATGTAAATTGAGTAAATAATCCAATTAAGACCTAGAATATCAGAATCGAACTATATGACGATGAGTGCATCTTAAATAGAAAGACACAGAAAAGTTGAAAGTAAAATGTAAAAGGTATATCATGCAAGTAGTACTTACCAAAAATATTTGGCTTAGCTATATTGACATTAGAAAAAGTAGATTCTTATGACAATTTGTATTAGTAGCTAAAGGGATTTACATTTCAAAATGATAAAAAGGTCAGTCTCCTAGGAACATAAATCCCAAATCTTTATCCACCAATAGTGTAATTATTAAATACATACAGTAAAAAATTATTAAATACATACAGTAAAAAATTGATATAGCTAAACATTTTAATAGAAAAATCTAAAACTAAAAATTTAGTAGAAAAATTATATAACTAAACATTTTAATAGAAAAATCTACAATCATAATAAAAGACCTTAACACATCTCTTGTGAAGTTACTTTTAAAAAGTAAACAAAAATTCTCAAAGGATAGAGAAAATCTTAGAAACACAATTAACCAACTTGACTGAATAAATATATGTAGACTGTTTCACCCAACAATGATAGAATCCACATTATTTTAATTGCAGATGAAACATTTTAAAAATTAATAAGATCCTGGGTCATATAGTAAATATTGACGTATTTCAAAGCCTTGAATAATTTTTAGTTTTTCTAACTGGAATAAATTTATGTTAAAAATTAGTAACTGAAAGATGATTAGGACATTTCCAACCCTTGGAAACTAGACACTTTTAAATCCAGGAATCAAAAAATAAATTATAATGGAGATTACAGACCAAGCACCATGGCTCATGCCTGTGCTTTGGGAAGTCGAGGTGACAGGATCACTTGAGGCCAGGAGTTTGAGACTAGCCTGAGCAACATAGCAAAATCCTATCTGTACACACAGAAAAAGTTAGGTGAGTGTGGTGGTGCATGTCTATAGTTCTAGCTACTCACGAGTCTTAGGTAGGAGGATTGCATGAGCCCAAGAGTTAGAGGCTGCAATGAGCTGATTATGCCACTGCACACCTGCCTGGGAACAGAGTGAGACCCGGTCTCTCTTAAAAAAAAAAAAGAAAAAGAAAAAGAAAATACTTTTAATTAAATGATAGTTGAGATATTATATGTGAAAATTAATGGTATTCAGCTAAAGCAGTGTTTAGATACAAATTTAAAGTCTAGGATCTATTTATTAGAAAAAATAAGAGCTAAAAGAGGACAATCTAAGCTTCCTTTTCAAGACACACAAAATACAGCAAAACAAACTGAAGACTAGCAGAAGGAAATAATAAAGATGAGATAATAAATCAATAATATAAAACACAAACAAATAATGGAGGAAATAAAGGTTTTTTATGGGCAACGATTTTGGCCGATTAATGATGCTCACACATTCTTTGACACTCCTCTTATGGAGAGGTGCACTTTGTGTCTGCTGTCCTTAAATCTGGTGAGCTCTGTGACTATTTTGAATAATTAAATATGGCAGACATGTGCCATTCTCTCTGGATCTAGGCTTTAAGAAACTGTCAGTTTCCACTTCCTGTCTCTAGGAACCTGCACTTACAGCCCTGAGATATCATGTCAGACATCTGATTTACACGTAAGTGTTTCAGACGACTATTTCAACTAATTCCTGCCTGCCAGTTATCCCTGCCAAGATGTCTGGCATATGAGTGAAGCTGATATGGATCCTTCCAGCTGGAGCAAACCAGCTGGCCGCTGAATAGCACCAACTGATCTCAGTCAGTACCTCAAAAGAGTAGAAGAATCATCCAGCTGAGCCCTGCCCCAATTCCTACCCACCAAATCATAAGATATAAAAAAGTTTGTTATTCTAAATTGAAAGGTTTTAGATTATTTGTTATGCAGCAATAGATAGCGAGAACAAATACATATAATTAAATTTGACAATTTTCAATTTTATGTTGTTTTAAATGTTCTATTATGAAGTAATTTTAGATTTCCAAAAAAAGTTATAAGAATTTTACAAAATATTTCCATATTCATATAGATTTTTCAAATGATATTTTTCCACCTTTGATTTCTCTATCTACCCATCAACTGTCCATTTTTGAGTATTTGAGAGTAAGTAGCTGACATTATTCATTACCACTAATTACCTCACATACCTCAGGGTATATTTCTTTAAAACAAAGATATTCCCTCATATAACTGCAGGGCACTTTTTGAAATCAAGAGAGCATCATTGATTTAGTACTGTTATCTATATATAGTACTATACATAGGCCTTGTTCAGATGACACCATTTGCCCTAATCAAGTACTTTATAGTAAAAGGTGATCCTTTTGCAATCAGTTGTGTCTCCTGAGTCTCTTTTAATCTGGGACAGTTCCAGTCTTCGTCTTTTATAACATGATAACTCTCAAGAATACAGTCAACTTATGTTTTTAATTAATGATTCTTGATGTTTATCTACTGTTTCCTCATGAATAATTCAGGTTATGTCTCAAAAAAGAAACAATACTACAGAAGTAACGTACTATTCCCAGTGTGTCATATCAGAAGGCACTTAATGTTGTCTTATGCTATTATTGATAATGTTAACTTTAATCACTTGGTAAAGGTGGTGTCTGCAAAGTTTATCCACTTTCAGGTTGCTATTTTTCACTTTGTAACTAATAGATATCTTGTGATAGGATACTTTGAGGCCAGCTAGGTAAATGTCTTATTTCTCATTAAACGTCCCCTCACTAGTTTTGGCAAATGTTTTTATGTCACTTCAAAATTCCTATGTAGAAATCCTAACTCCCAATATGATGGTATTAGAAGATAGGGCATTTGTTAGGTGATTAGGTCATGAGAGTGGAGACCTCATGAATGGAATTAGTGCCCTTATAGCAGAGACTCTGGAGCACTCCCTTGCCCCTTGAGGACACATAAGACATTTGAGGACACAATGAGATATCCATCTATGAACCCAGGAGCAGGCCCTCAGAAAATGCTGAATTTGCCTGCAGCTTGATCTTGGCCTTCTCAGCCTCAAAAACTGCAAGAAATAAATTTCTGTTGTTCTTAGAGTCCACCTAGTTTATGGTATTTTGTTATAGCAGCCTGAACAAACTGAGACAATTGGTGATTTTTGTCTCACTCCTTTATCATTTTGATGGTTGCCAAATTATGATTTTCCAATTGTATCATTCTTTATACATCTAATACTACATTGTACTATAAGAAAGAACATTTCTTCATAATTGGTTGATTACTTAATTAATATTTGCATGGACTCAGGTACTCCTATTTAATGGGTTGTGATTTCTTATGGTCATTATATTGATGCTCAAATTGTTCCAGATTTAACTAGTGGGAGCTCTTTCAAAATACCTCTTAGGATTTTGTAACGTGTCCTCATTATTATTTAAGTATGTCTTTACTTTCTTGCATTACAGCATTACAAGATGTTTCATTCACAGGCTTTGAAGTTCGTAGCACAGAACTTCTTGCCCTTTGATGTTACCCATTTATGATACCCTATGTCCGACATTTTGTCTCTACACAGACACCAGAATGCTTACTTGACTTTATCGCCACCAGATTCTTGAGCCTCTTCTATGATTCCAGGACCCCTGATTGGATGTGCTCTATTTCCTCTATTTTTAAACCTGTCAGATATTATCTTTGCTTTTCTTAACTTACCACTCTATAACATGGGGTATGATCCTGTACCCTGTGTGCCTTTGATAAGTATTGGTGGACTGATGGTCATGCACAGAAGAGCTTGCCGCACTATAACCCTCAGGAAGAACAGCAAGCTAAAACATATGACCTAACTTCTACAGTTTTTTAGCATCACAAGAACATGCAGGGCACATTATTTTGAATGAGGACACTCAGACCATTAAATGTCAAAGTAGCCTAATTGTTAACGGGACACATGTAGTGAGAAAAATGTGTTTGTACTTGTTGAACAGAAGACAAATGTAGCCGAAAGTATTTAATATTGAAATACAGCTTAATCAGGTGCTTTAAACAATTAAGCCATATAATTTATTAAAGCATGGCTCTGAGTTTAAGTATCAACACTCTTCCTCTCCCATTCTGTTCATCCTTTGGAAGCCTACCTTCCTATCCCCATTTTGTTTAGTCACCTTTGGCTTGAAGTTGACCAGTATTCAGTGGCTAGTGGCTTCTATCTTATGGCAAGAGAAGGAAAAGAGATGAGAAGTAAAAGACAAAAATAATAGAGAAAATATTTAAAGGATTTGAAGCAAAGCATCTGAGGATATAGGTACTGTTTAGCAAATCTGAATATATTGCAACATTATTGCAAGGAAGGAGAGATATGTTAGGGAATTTCAGCACTAAAGATGGTCTACTTTTAGCAGACACATAAAGATAATTTCATTTGAATTTTTAAATTTCCTTTGGCATACAATATGTTCTTTGCTAAGAGAAAATACCTTTCATATGTCATTCTAGGCATTCTTCAACACAAAGCAGGACAAGATGTATTTTAAGGTAAAGAGTACAGACACTGGAATCAGTAGGAGTTGCTGTTTCCATTCATTAGTTTTGAGACCTTGAGCAAGACTATGAATGTCAGTTTCCTCATGTTAAAACAGGGATGATAATACTTATTTTGTTATGTGCTATAAAGCAGAGGTCTCCAACCCCCGGGGCCATGGACTGGTACAGGTCTGTGGCCTGTTGGGAACTGGGCCACACAGCAGGAGGTGAGTGAAGCTTCATCTGTATTTACAGCCACTCCTCATCACTCGCATTACCACCTGAGCTCTATCGCCTGTCACATCAGCAGCATTAGGTTCTCACAGGAGCACAAACCCTATGGTGAACTGCTCATGTGAAGGATCTAGCTTATGTTCTCCTTGTGAGAATCTAATGCCTGATGATCTGTCCCCATCTCCCATCGCCCCCAGATGGGAGCATCTAGTTGCAAGAAAAGAAGCTCAGGGCTCCCACTGAATCTACATTATGATGAGCTGTATAATTTTTTTTTTTTTTTTTTTTTTTAGAGAGTCTCACTCTGTCGCCTAGGCTGGAGTGCAATGGCATAATCTCTGCTCACTGCAACTTCCATTTCCCAGGTTCAAGCAACTCTCTTCCTCAGCCTCCCAAGCAGCTGGGATTACAGGCACCTGCCACCATGCTGGGCTAATTTTTAGTATTTTTAGTAGAGATGGGTTTTGCCATGTTGGCCAGCCTGATCTTGAACTCCTGACCTCAGGTGATCCACCTGGCTTGGCCTCCCAAAGGTGAGCTGTATAATTATTTTATTATATATCATGATGTAATAATAATGTAAATAAAGTGCACAATAGATGTAATGCATTTGAATTATCCCAAAACCACCCCACCACCCAGTCCGTGGAAAAATTGTCTTCCACAAAACCAGTCCCTGGTGCCAAAAAGGTTAGGGACAGCTATTGTAAGGGATAGAGTCCTTATGTGTATAAATCTTTGAGTCATGTGCCTACAACACAGTAGGTGCTTAACAAATGTTGCTACTACACAAGCAGATCCCAGAATTCCATGCTGGCAAAATCCTCTGAAGGTGTTATTTATAAAACAAAATAAGACAAGCATGTCTCCAGGCCTTTTCTTGGAGATTTTGATTCACTCATTCTGGGAATAGAACTGATAATATCTTCATTTCTTTTTTAAAGTACTTTGGGAGGCTGAGGTGGGTGGATCACAAGGTCAGGAGTTCAAGACCAGCCTGGCCAAGATGGTGAAACCCCATCTCTACTAAGAATACAAAAAATCAGCCGGGCATGGTGGCTGGCGCCTGTAATCCCAGCTACTCGGGAGGCTGAGGCAGAGAGTTGCTTGAACCCAGGAGGTGGAGGTTGCAGTGAACTGAGATGGCGCCACTGCACCTCAGCCTGGGCGACAGAGCGAGACTCCATCTCAAAAAAAAAAAAAAAAAGAACCTCTTATAGTGAATACCTTAGATGATTCTTACCAACAGTGAAAATAGGCAAACCCATAACAGAGCACTCATACAGCATAAGCCTGATAGAAATGGAGGTTGCCAGAACTAATAAGACTAATACCCATATGATCATAATGCCAATGATCTATTTCTAAGCCATACTTTCTCTAAGCTCCTATCCCCTTTTTATCTCACTGTCCAATTTACATGTTGTATATGCCTTTGAAACTGGAATACTCACATTGAACTTGGCCTTTCTCTTCATCCTCCACCTCCCAAAGAAGAAAGTCGCTTCTTCTCATTATTTCCATTTTCAGGTAGAAGCACAACCATCTTTCCATTAAAAAGATGGAGATGAAGGGAGGGCATCTTCATTCCTTCTTTTTCTCTTCTTAACTGGTCCCTTATCCCCAGTCTTGCTAATATCTTAATACCAGAGTAATCCTTGTAAAATACAAAACTAGCCATGTTTGGAAATCTACAGTGCCCTCCTATAATCTTCAGAATAAAATGCAAACTTCTCAGGGAAGCATTTGAGGCTTTATGATCTGACCATTGCCTCTCTTTCTTCAGGCTCACCTCCTACATTATTCCTTCCTTACCCTTCTCCCCAGCTAGACCACATTACTTGCTGCTCCCCAGAGGTGCAGCCTCATATCTACTTGACTTTGCAGTTGTTGGTGACTATGGTCTATTTGTGTTCTCCTAAAATTTATATGTTGAGATCCTCGCTCTCAAGGTGATGATATCAGGAGGTGGGGCCTCTGGTAGGTGATTAGATCGTAAGTGCAGAGCCCTTGTGCATGGTATTAGTGCCTTTATAAAAGATGGCCCAGAAAGTTGCTTTGTTCCTTACACCATCCCACGAAGCAACAAGAAACAGGCCCTCAAAAGACACTAAATCAGCCAGCACCTTAATCTTGAACATTCCAGGATCTAGAGATATGAGAAATAAATTTCTGTTGTTTATAAGCCATCCAGTCTAGGGTATTTTTGTTACAGCAGCCAGAATAGACAGACACTGGCCTTTTTTCTGCAATTTTCTCTATTATTGCAGTTGCTACATTTTACCCAACCCAGCAAAGTCTTCCATCATTAGTCTCCTAAATAGCTCCAAAGTATCCTTCCAGACCAAGAACAAGCATTGCATCCTCATGTCTGTTCACCAGTCTCATATGATATTCTCTTTTCCCATAGCTCTGACCATGCTATATTCTAACCATCAATTTTCTAATTTATCTTCTTCTAAACTGGGAGAAACTTGAGGTGAACTATCTTAATTATCTTTATTTTCTCAATTACTTGAAAAATCTCTGGTATATGGAAGGTATTCACTAAATGCTTGTTGAATGAATGAACAATGAGAGCAATAAATATTCCTTATTTATCCACTCAAAATTCACACTAACAGTTAAGTTAGGCGTAGTGACATTAAACAATTACTAATATTTCACTCTAACTATAATACATAGATTTGTCCTAATTTCAGGCACATTCTGAGGATATTCCTAAGGGTAAGTGATTAAAAATAAAGAATGCCTCTTCAAGATTCTACAAGAAAAATCTAGATTATTCTCATTTGTAATCCACATAAATTCTGGAAATTAGAAGTGGGAATGTTTCAGAGATGATTCCTAAGTCTATTTCAGCAGATGTAGAGAGGACAGCCAGGATTTCATCTGCCCCACTTAGTTCACTTTTACTTCATGGATCTTCCGATCACAAGTGACAACTTACACTTAATTATTTCTTCCTGTCACTAATGTGAAGAGACAGACTCCTGTCAGTAGAAAACGGCTTAGGAGAAATGATTCAGAAAGAAAAAAAAATTATAACTTCTTATGTAAGTGTCCAAGCAGTGTACTCTTATTGATTTTTTACTAGTGAACAAAATTTCTAATTGGTATAGTCACTACTTTTGTAGGTAATGGGAAAAATATGTAGACCTTGGTGATTTGCACGTCAATTCCTTGAGGAAAATATCTCAGGAAAATGCAAAAGAGGTGGCAAATTTACAATGTGTTTCTTGAAGTCATTTAAGCCTTTTCCTCCAATTGGAATGAAATTTATACTCTGGAAGCAAATAGGCGTTTCACTCTAACAGGAATCATTATAGCAAGGAATTTGGTGCAACAAAGGTCTTTTGATTTTTTCGAGGAGGCTTACCTCCTAATAAATACATCTTCATAACACACTATCCTACTGTGTCCAGAATTGGTGGGTTCTTGGACTCATTGACTTCAAGACTGAAGCTGCCGAACCTCGCGGTGAGTATTACAGTTCTTAAAGATGGTGTGTCTGGAGTTTGTTCCTTCTGATGTTCGGACGTGTTCGGAGTTTCTTCCTTCTGGTGGGTTCATGGTCTCGCTGGCTTCAGGAGTGAAGCTGCAGACCTTCGCAGTGAATGTTACAGCTCTTAAAGCGGCGCGCGTCTGGAGTTGTTCGTTCCTCCCATCCGGAGTTGTTCGTTCCTCCCATCCGGAGTTGTTCATTCCTCCTGGTGGGTTCGTGGTCTCGCTGGCCTCAGGATTGAAGCTGCAGACCTTCGCGGTGACTGTTACAGCTCATAAAGGCAGTGCGGACCCAAAGAGGGAGCAGCAGCAAGACCTGTTGCAAAGAACAAAAGACCAAAGCTGACACACGGTGGAAAGAGACCCAAGTGGGTTGCCACTGCTGGCTCCGGCAGTCAGCTTTTATTCCCTTATCTGGCCCCACCCACATCCTGCTGATTGGTCCATTTTACAGAGAGCTGATTGGTCACTTTTACAGAGAACTGATTGGTCCGTTTTGGCAGAGTGCTGATTGGTACGTTTATAATCCCTGAGCTAGACACAAAAGTTCTCCAAGTCCCCACGAGATTAGCTCGACACAGAGCACTGATTGGTGCATTCACAAACCTTGAGCTAGACACAGGGTGCTGATTGGTGCATTTACAAACCTTGAGCTAGACACAAAGTGCTGATTGGTGTATTTACAATCCTTTAGCTAGACATAAAAGTTCTCCAAGTCCCCATCTGACTCAGGAGCCCAGCTGGCTTCCCCTAGTGGATACCCTGCTGGGGCTGCGGGTGGAGCTGTCCACCAGTCCAGCACCACATGCCTGCACACCTTAGCCCTTGGGCGGTTGATGGGACTGGGCACCTTGGAGCAGGGGGTGGCACCCGTCGGGGAGGCTCAGGCTGTGTGGGAGCCCACGGGGCGGGGGGAAAGAGGGGGGTGGCTCTGGCATGGCAGGCTGCAGGTCCTGAGCCCTACCCCACGGGGAGATGGCTGAGGCCCTGTGAGAATTCAAGTGCAGCGCAGTCTGGCCAGCAGTACTGGGGGACCCAGCACACCCTCTGGAGCTGCTGGCATGGGTGCTAAGCCCCTCACTGCCTGGGGCCAGAGGCACCGGCCAGCTGCTCCGAGTGTGGGGTCTGCAAAGCCCACACCCACACGGAACTCAGGCACAGCCCTGGTTCCTGCCTGCGCCTCTCCCTCCACACCTCCCTGCAAGCAGAGGGAGCTGGCTTCGGCTTCAGCCAGCCCAGAGAGAGTCTCCCACAGTGCAGCGGCAGGCTGAGGGGCTCCTCAAGTGAGGCCAGAGTGGGCGCTGAGGCCGAGGAGGTGCAGAGAGTGAGAGAGGGCTGCCAGCATGCTGTCACCTCTCACTACTGTTGCTTGAATCCATTCTATAGATAAGTTTTTTATTAGGCTTTCCTTCAACAGAATGTTTCCTATGAGAGCAGTGATATCATCTGTCTTGTTTACTTGCATACTAATAACACAACAGTACTAAGTATTATATCCATACACAAACACTTTGTTTGGAAAGTTCAAGTTATGATACTTAATGGTATGGATAAAGAACAATTAGGACATTTGTTAGGTATCCTCTGTATAATTTTCCAAGTAAATTTAATAGCTTAAATATCAATGTAACATACCATGAATTAATAATGGACTGGGAGTGAACATTAATGATGAACATTTACATTGCACCATATGTACTTTTCAGTTTTATATCAATTAGTAAGATTAAACAACCTTTCCTTCATCTACCTCTTATTAAGACAAAACACTTGATTAGTAATTTTATTTTCTTTGGCTTTCTACCTAGAAGTGCTAGATTATATGGTAATTCCATTTTTAATTTTTTGAGAAACTTCCATACGTTTTCACATAATGACTGTAACAATTTACATTTCCACCAACAATGTATATGGGTTCCCTTTTCTTCACATTTTTACCTCAAAAACACTTGTTACCACTTGTCTTTTGATAATAGCCATCTTAATAAGTGCGAGATGATATTTTGCTGTGGTTTTGATTTGCATTTCTCTGATGATCGGTAATGTCGAGTACTTTTTTTACACATGTTGGCCATTTTTGTATTTTATTTGGAAAAATATCTATTCAGGACCTTTGCTCATGTGTAAATCAAGTTATTCAGGAATTTTTTGGGTTTTTTTGCTATTCATTTGTATGAGTTTCTTATATATATTGGATCTTAGCCTCTTATCAGATATATGGTTTGCAAATATTTTCTCCCATTCTGTGGGTTGCCTTTTTATTGTTGATTGTTTTCTCTATTGTACAGAAACTTTCTAGTTTTATGTAGTTCCACTTTCTTATTTTTGCTTGTATTGCTTGAACTTTTGGTGTCATATATAATGTTATACAGTTTTTCCCCTGTTTCATTCTAGGAGTTTTATAGTTTTAGTTCTTATGTTTAAATCTTTAATTTATTTTGAGTTTTGTGTATATATTCAAAGAAAATGAAATTACTGTCTCAAAGACGTATCTACATTTTTCACAATAACCAAGATATAGAATCAACCTAAGTGTCTGTCGATGGATGAATAAAGAAATTATGATATATATACACAATGAATTATCAGCCAGCCTTTAAAACGAAGGAAAGCCTGTCACTTTAAACAACGTAAATTAACCTGGAGGACATTATGTTAAATGAAATAATCCAGACATAGAAAGATGGTTCATGATCTTGCTTATGTGTGGAAACTATAAAAGACAAAAATCAAATACAAAGAGACAGAATAGAATAGTGGTTGTGGGGCAGGGGGGCAGAGGGGCAGGTTGGGGGAAATGGGGAGATGTTGGTCAAAGGGTACAAACTTTCAATTATAAGATGAAAAAGTTCTGGTGACAGCATGATGCCTATCAATCATTAATAATAATGTATATTTGAAATTTGCTAAGAGAATACATCTTAAGTATTCCCACCATAAAAAAAGGTAACTATGTGAAGTGATTGATATGTTAATTAGCTTGATGGTGCTAATCATTTCAGAATGTATACATGTATCAAAACATCACATTGTGTACCTTATGTATACAATTTTTATTTGCCAATTATACCTCATTAAAGCCAAAGAGAAAAAGCTTGATTTAGACCTACTCAGTTTTGCTTCTTGATGAAAAGAAAGATTAATTTATTTGTTCCTCCCTGCTGTGACTAGTCAACACAGCTTGCAGTTTAAAAACTAAAAAATACACTTACATAATAGAGCTATCAAATTATAAGATTTTTTTTACTAATTCAAAAATACATGTATAATGAATAGAATGAATGGCTTAAGACCTTTTCTCCCCCACATTAGTAGATGGGCTTTAACATTTCCATAGGAGGCTTGGATTTCCAATTTTTCCATGCTCATTAGACCATAATGGTCCCTTATCACTGCTGGCATTGTCAGAGATTGGACAGAAGTTCAGCAAAGCTGCGCATTAATTAGGCAAAGGTGTCAATGTCCTCCTCAGAGCTCTGCATACACAGCTGTGGCAGTACTGCCAGCTCTCCCAAGAGAGCGGAATAGCAGGAGTTAGACATTTTGTATCGTTTACATTTAAAACAAGGAAGTGGGAAATGTTAATATTTTCAAAAGCTTTTAAGATTCTGTGAGATAGTCATTCATTTTCCCCCATGTTTTAGTTTATCCATAATCATTTTCATCAGCAGGATACAGTGGGGGTTACAATACTGTGAATTCACCATGTCAAGGTATTCTTTGTTTCAGAATTAAGGCTTTTGTATTTGTATATTCAGAGAGGAAAACCAAAATTTAAGTTTTTATTATAGTCAAAGACTGAAGAGCACTTTTTAGTCAGGACTTTCTCAATTGCAAAGAATATAAACCAAACTCAAAGTAGATTCAGGAGAAAAGGGGAAATGTTGGTTGACATGATACAATTATAAAGAGGGCAACAATGAAATCGCCCTGGGGAATAACTTGAGGCAGAGGTTTTCATATTTCAGAACTTGTGTTCTCATCCTCTTTTGTTTTCAGTTTTAAACTGGTGTACTCCATAGACTTGTCCTCCAAGACCTCCAAACTTATCTTAAGTAGCTTCACAGCCATAGAAGAAAGAAGCTTCTCTCCCAACTCCAGTTGGGAACTATTCAAAGGAAAAAGAAAAATAAACCGCAAAAGAACAGTGATGATCTCTGACTAAAGCAGCCTTAGTCCAGAGCAAATATTGACAAATACAAAAATAAATGTTCAGATCATGCTTCTATTCTGAGGCATGATCTTTGTTAGTTTAAAATCCTGTGTGATACAAGTCACCCTAAAGAAAATCATTGATTTCAAAATATACAGAAAGAGACACTTTTCTTAAAGAAACCATCATTCTCAGCAAACTATTGCCAAGGACAAAAACACAAACACCGCATGTTCTCACTCATAGGTGGGAACTGAACAATGAGAACACTTGGACACAGGAAGGGGAACATCACACAATGGGGCCTGTTGTGGGGTGGGGGGCGGGGGGGAGGGATAGCATTAGGAGATATACCTAATGTAAATGATGAGTTAATGGGTGCAGCACACTAACATGGCACATGTATACATATGTAACAAACCTGCACATTGTGCACATGTACCCTAGAACTTAAAGTTTAATTAAAAAAAAAGCTCCGCCTCCCAGGTTCACACCATTCACACCATTCTCCTGCCTCAGCAAAAAAAAAAAAAAAAAAAAAAAAAAAGCTAATTACTTCACGAAGGAACAACGTATTTTTCTTTTAAAAATAGAATAGATTAATAAAGAGATAATAATAAAATATAAAAGAATTCCTCTAATTGAATTCCCTTGAAGTTGGAAAAACTGCCCCTTTTCCCTTTCTTGCCACACAAATTCATTAAACATTGTAATTTTATTGAGAAGCATTAACAGGTTATGAGGTTCTAGAGGCCCAAAAATATAAAGTCTTAATATGAATCACAAGGAGACTTAATACAGAAATAAAATCAGAGAGAACTCTGAGTGGCAGAAAAATTCTGAGGGATTCTGAATTTTCTCATTCCAGATTCTGTACTAAGCCCCTGGCATAATGTACTCAGGGCAGAAATAGAACTGGTCAGGTAATTGCCTAATGACTCCTTCTAGTTTTCATTTTGTCACCATTAAAAAACATCTCCTGAGACTTGGAACTATTTTTACTTAGTCAAATTTAATTTTCTCATGTTCCCTTCCACAAAGAGCCTACATATCAAGAGAAGTAATAAAAATAATTAGTGTACATTTCTCTGTTAATTGATGTTTATAGCTGGGATCAAGGAGGAGTCTATCCATATCCTATTTTGTGTATCAAAGGAGACAAAAAGATTCCTGGACTATAAACACCAGAACCACTCTGAGTTCATCTTTCCAGTGTGCTGCTGCAGCATAAGAAGGGCTAAAACTTGGAAGCAGACTGAAAGATACTGTAATAGTGGTCTCTTAAACATTTTTTTTTTTTTTGAAGAAGAAAGATATCGTGGGATTTGCTTTTGCTTTTTTCTATGAAAAAAGCAGGACCTATACAACGATGGTCTCTTTCTGTCAAATTCCATAAGAAAGGAAAAGTTAGAACTCTGAAGAAATGAGTTAACCCTCTGGGAAATTACTTTACTAGCTAAGTTAAAGGTAAGCTGAGATCATAGATAAGTATTAAAATGAGAAAGGGTACAGTAACATTTTTAACTCCAACAGTTGAGGAACTCTGAAAAAAACTTGAGAGAAAAAACCCTCTGTTTAAATCTGTAAGGAACAGAAGAATTAAGATTCATAATTGTTACAGGTTAATGAAGATGCTCTCTTATTTTACCCAAATATTTGTGGTCTTTTAAACTTTGCTCAAAGTTACCTAATCTTTAAAATATATCATTTTCATATTATCATTTGCTACAAATTTTATAATATAAAAGTACATGATTATTTATTTAGGACAGTTTATAACATTCTAAAATATTTTTAAATTTTATTTTGTATAGTTGAATTCTGGCGAGGTTGCATATTTTTTCAATCAGCTTTTTTGTGACCTGTTGATTCATTCAAGTTATTTCTCAACTGTCTATTGTGGTTTTTATGTCTTTTTGTTTTGTTTTGTTTTGTTTTTACTGATTTGATAAACAGATTAGTAGGAATGGGGAAACTTTGTTATTATTCCTGCTGAAATATCCTAATATGAATACATGTTTTAGAAGACGGTGTGGTGATTCCTCAAGGATCTAGAACCAGAAATACCATTTGACCCAGCAATCCCATTACTGGGCACATACCCAAAGGATTATAAATCATTATACTATAAAGACACCTGCACACATATATTTATTGTGGCACTATTCACAGTAGCAAAGACTTGGAACCAACCCAAATGTCCATCAACGATAGACTGGATTTAGAAAATGTGGCACCATGGAATACTATGCAGCCATAAAAAACAATGAGTTCATGTCTTTTGCAGGGACATGGATGAAGCTGGAAACCATCATTTTCAGCAAACTATCACGAGATGAGAAAATGAAACACCGCATGTTCTCACTCATAAGTGGGAGTTGAATGATGAGAACACATGGACCCAGGGAGGGGAATATCACACACTGGGACCTGTCAGGGGGTTGGGGGCTAGGGGAGGGATAACATTAGGAGAAATACCTAATGTAGGTGATAGGTTGATGGGTGCAGCAAACCACCAAGGCACGTGTATACCTGTGTACCAAAACTGCACACTCTGCACACATAACCCAGAACTTAAAGTATAATAAAGAAAATAACATAATTGAGTATAAATAAATGTTATATTTATTTATATATGATATACATGTATTATATATGATATACATGTATATATGATATACATGTATATATGATATACATATATTATATATGATATACATGTATATCATATATTATATATGATATACATGTATATCATATATTATATATGATATATATTTATATATTTGAGCATAAGTAAATGCTATAGTTTCATCACATAGTAACTGTGCCCATGGAAAGTCAGACTGCTTGGATGTGCAGGTCACAGTCCAAGCACTCCCATTCATTGGCTGGCAATTACAGAAATTTCAGGTTTATAATTAAGAGGATTAGGAATGATAGTAAAAGGAGTTAAAATACATATTAAATAATACAAAGAAATTAAGGGAAAATAACCCCTAGAGAGCTTTCTTTGCAATTGAAAATCTGTATAGTGGCAACTAAAGTTACAGCATGAAAAGTCAATTAACTTAAAACTATATTAATAATCTCTGTGTGTAATAACCTAAAATAAGAATATTAGATTCCCAGGAAAATTAAACAAGTTTCTAAGATTTCTTATATCATTATGACCGATTTAAATAAGTCAATTCTATTATTATTATTACTTACAATATGTTCTTCGAAAATGAAGCTCATTTTTCAAATCTAATTTCTGAGGATAGTGTCTAGAATCAAAAAGATGAAATGTTGTGCTTCACAACCCATTCTGCAACTTGCTAAAATTTCAGATCAAATTCTAAAAAACCTATGTAAACAGATACTTTCTATTTACATTGCCAGATTTTCCCCTCTGTTTAAAAATAACAGATCGGTCATGCTTGAAGGTTGCATCCCGTTTTAGGTGTCAAAGAAATAAAGTTAGATACCGCGGAGCGTTTTAGAGTCCACGTAAGCATATCTTTCTGTCTCACTGATAAGATCCAGTCCCTCCTCTGCATAGTTCTGGTGTTTCTTTTTAATCTGTCACGCTGTTGTGTAGACAGCTTGTGGCAGATGTATTCCATAAATGTTAAGGTACATTGGGTTCAGGATTGCTTCTGACATCAAGTGCATAGATAGAGCTTTATCGTTTCCAAATATGGGCTGATCTCCAGCCAAGAAAATCTATGATTCTAGGACATACTGACATAATGAAAACTCAGTTAAGTTCCCAAAGAGTGTAGCTTGTTTGGCTCTGACCTTTGGAGGGCAGAAGGGTTTATGTTAAATATTTGGTTGCATTGGGTTGGTGGACAGTCTATCTTTATTTTGACCTTTCTGTCTCTAGCTCTCTATTTTTCAAGCAGAAGACATAATCCTTCCCCTCAGCTAGAAAAGTGGCCCAGAACATTCCATAGCAATTAGTGGCCCCTATTGATAGTTAGACTTTTGCAACAAAAGCATGTGCCTTCCTTGGTTGTACAATTTCTTATTTGTTCTTTAAAAGTAAATTTCCAGGAATAAATCCAGGAACTACCTGTGACTCTCTCTTCCCTCTCTCCAGTTCCTTTTCATAGCTAGAATGGTCCTTGCAAAGAGTAATAATTACCTATGCTTCCCACCTCTAGGTCACTTCAAATGTATACTTTATCATGTCTGTTTCATATCTCCTAAAGAATCTAGCCACAGTGAAATTCCACCTCAATCTGTAGTATCAAGAAAGTTCAAACATATACTCTTTCCTAGTTTACTACCTAACAAATTCGTATCACACAAGGAAGAAAAAAATTCTTTATAACACATAAACATAAGTTATTCGACTCTTCTATTTGCTGGGTCTTTTCCTAGTAAATAAAAAGTGGGGACTACTTTCCATATTCTCAGAGGCATCATTTTAATATGTTTTTCCTACAATATACATTTTCCTTAGACCAAGTTGTATATTGCCATGTATTATTTTAAAACCAGGATAAATCGAAGTTTTAGATTGCTTAGCTACTACTTACTGCAGGATGTTAGAACAAATGAAAAACTGAAAATAATTCAAGAGATGATCCTTATGTTGGTAATTGAGTTGGTACAAACTACTATGTTAAAAGAAACAGAAAAAGCTAATTTAAGAAATGACCATTTCCTTTATGCCTTGTGAGCAGCAGGTTAAAGCTCAACGGATCTTTTTTAACATAATGGGGTACTGGGGAACCTTGTTATTAATGCCTCACTGAAAAACATTTATCCAAGGTGTAAACAATCGACAAAACTTGAAATGTCTACCTGCCAAACATCAGGGCTTCAAGGTCTTTAAGCACTTTCTGTGCAGCAGGGGGTTGTATTTATTATTTGAAAGGATGACCTGTTAATGGGATCCAGTGGTATTGGAATCTGACATATAACCTAGAGATAAAATTGGATGAATTGGATAATTTTTTGAAATGAATACCAGGGTAGGAAAAAAGATGTTTTTCAACATTATTAAATAATGCCGATATTTTTCTGTGTATCTAGGGGGATTCTCCTTGCTGTATGTTATTAATGACTCCTGAAAACAGATAATGAAATTGACTTTAAATATTGTTCATGTGGATGCTCACATCTAGAAGGGGTGTGTGTCGTGTGTGTGTGTGTGTGTCTGTGTGTGTGTGTGTTTAAACTAGAATCTAATTTCCATCTCCTATGGGCTTTTAAAGGCTGTCTCCATAGCGATGACCAATGAGAGGAGAGGATTTAGCAGGTTTCTTTCTCAGTATATGTGGCACAGTCATCTCTTTTTATGTCCTTCTATTTGTTCCCTATATGCCATTACTGGCTGCCTCTATGGCAACAGCCAATGAGCTCTTGCACATACATCACTGCACCCTCTGTATATGCTCCTCTGTGTGTGCCCTCATGCACTCAGTGGTATCATAAAGCATCTGAGGAGTTGTACGTGCCCAGTGAGTTGGTTTGGTGCCCCTGGAACCTCCTCTTCCTTCCATGCCCTCAGGATAGCATGGATCATAATCACCTTAAAAATTGTACCTGCTTGAATTGTCCCTCCCTGTTCAGTACACATTAATCTTCTCTGACCTAGGTTCCATGGATATAATGTGTTCATTATAGAAGATGAAAGATGAAAGCTTGTTGGCTGCGTAGCTTTGGGAGAACCTCAACTTGTAAAATATGAAGTCCCGGTATGGGATAGATATTTAAGTCTAGCAGAACTTTCTTATAAAAGGATACATTCTAGTCAACATTTTGATATTTCATACTACTTCTTGGTAGGATTTAAAACACTAGATTTGCATTTTATTGTTTTATAAACAATTATCATGTAAGTGATTTTTCTGCATGTGGTATTTATTTATTTTTCCTAGGGATAAAAGCAAACATTAAACATAAAATCCGCCCTCAAGAAGCCTATTTTCGCAAACAATCATCTTCCATACCCACTTTGATGAGATAATCATCTAATGAAAACAAATTGATGGTAATCAAATTGATGGTATACATTAAAAGAGGTAAAAATTAAAGACAAAAGAAGTATTGGTAAGTAGTTCAGAAATGTGTACATTTAAAACAAAAATATGAGATTAAGAGAAAACTAACCTGGTATTTAGATGTTTTTGTTGTTTTGCTTATGTTTAACTTTTAGACTTTCTCATAGAGACATTGTAACTAAAATCCACACTTCTGTAATATTGTGCTTGTAATTTCCATTTCAAACCCTAAAGCAAAATTTAATTTAATTCAATTTGCAGTTTGGAGCACAGTGTAGACAATTTAAACTTAACTATATCTAATTATTTTCACCATTTTGTGTTTTAAAATTAACAACAAATCTTGCAATAGCATATATTCTAATATGTTCCTTTTCAATTGGTGATAAATGGCAGCAGAAATCCTTGTAAGGAAAGGATCCAAAGAAAACATTCTTGTGAGCTATATTGATTGTCACTCATTGTAAGAAAAAGCAAACACTTTGTCTTCACAAATTGGGTCCTCAGGCCTGCAGGAGGATTCCTCTTGAATGGGGGTTGTTATTACTCCAAGAGACTGGGGCTAGGGATGGCATAGACAAAGGAAAGCTGAAAAACTCATATTCAAGACTAAATCTTAGAGATCAGAAGTGATTCCTTCAATGACTACTCAGAAGTCAGCTACCACAGATCAGGGAACATAGTCATAACAACATCATAAAACTACTTAAATTTTGTAATTTCCCCATGCATTTTGGTTTTGCCATCCCCTTAAAATCAAAAGTCCTGTGTGTTTGTCTTTGGGGACAGCAAGAAAGCCTGAAGTTGCAGAGACTATCCCTCTTTGCTGCTATATTAGTGGTGAGAAGATCTTTGAGGATGAGAGAGGGGTGGAAGCACTGTGGACATTACTGAGGTTAATGTCAAACAACAAGGCCAGCACAGAAGCCAATCTGGGTTATAGGCACACTGAGTATATCTTACTAACCACACAGCATCATGACCCCCCGATGCATTCAATTGGGATGATGTTATGTGCCATTTAAATCTTTATCACTAACTCTTTATCACATGCCATGAGACTCAATCACTGAAATCTTAGTCTATTCATTTATGCAGCCAACAGACACATGAAAAAATGCTCATCATCACTGGCCATCAGAGAAATGCAAATCAAAACCACAATGAGATATCATCTCACACCAGTTAGAATGGCGATCATTAAAAAGTCAGGAAACAACAGGTGCTGGAGAGGATGTGGAGAAATAGGAACGCTTTTACACTGTTGGTGGGACTGTCAACTAGTTCAACCATTGTATAAGTCAGTGTGACGTTTCCTCAGAGATCTAGAACTAGAAATACCATTTGACCCAGCCATCCCATTACTGGGTATATACCCAAAGGACTATAAATCATGCTGCTATAAAGACACATGCACACGTATGTTTATTGCGGCACTATTCACAATAGCAAAGACTTGGAACCAACCCAAATGTCCAACAATGATAGACTGGATTAAGAAAATGTGGCACATATACACCATGGAATATTATGCAGCCATAAAAAATGATGAGTTCATATCCTTTGTAGGGACATGGATGAAATTGGAACCCATCATTCTCAGTAAACTATCGCAAGAACAAAAAACCAAACACCGCATATTCTCACTCATAGGTGGGAATTGAACAATGAGATCACATGGACACAGGAAGGGGAATATCACACTCTGGGGACTGTGGTGGGGTCGGGGGAGGGGGGAGGGATAGCATTGGGAGATATACCTAATGCTAGATGACACATTAGTGGGTGCAGCGCACCAGCATGGCACATGTATACATATGTAACTAACCTGCACAATGTGCACATGTACCCTAAAACTTAGAGTATAATAAAAAAAAAAAAAAAAAAAAAAAAAAGAAAGCCCAGGCCAGGGCAATGTTCAAGTGTCAAGGCACAGGGACAGCTATGTCTAGCAAAATTTCCTATGAGCCCTCAGGTAACACTGACCCTTTCTGCCCTAATCCAGGATTTAAGGAGACTGGGTTATTAGATTGGTCCCAGTAACTTCACCAATAACATTTAGTGAAGGCCTGTTATGTGGCAGATATAAGAAAGAGATTATGCCATCCTATGTTTCAAAAAGTTTAATTTCTTAATGAGTGAGGTAGGCAAAGCAGAAGCCAAACTAAAACAACACAACAATGTGTGATAAAGTAATAAAAGTATACACAAGGTGCACTAGGGGCACAGCTGAGGAAATCAATTCTATTTGTGGTAAAGTGAGAGATCAGAAATAACTTACAGAAGTTACATTTGAGCCAAATCTAAAGACGAGTAGGCATTTACCAGGAGACCAGAGGAAAGCATTCAGGCTGAGCAAGCAGTCTCGGCAAAAATGTGAAATGTTAAGGTTCATTAGGGAAGCTGTAAGCATTTCTTGACGGCTGGCAGCATATACGTATATGGGGTAAGGGTGAAGATCCATAAGGTCTAATACCATGTCAAGAATCCTGGATTTTTCTCCTATGTAAAGTAAGCTTATAAAGATTTGGATTTTCTTGAAGATCACTTGAAAGCAGTTTGGAGGATTAATTGGGAATGACAAGACTTGAAGCAGGGAGATGGGTTAGGGGCAATTGTCATAGTCTAGGTGTGATAGGGAGGTAGCCTAGACTGTGTGGAGGTAAAGGGATGGGTGGTTAGGCCTGTTTACCTGAGAATATTGTATAATTGTCAATGTGATAGAATTGTCTGCTGTCTTGTTATACTTTCCATGTATTTGACTATAGTTAGGGCATTTGTATTGTGATTTTTTCTCTTATTCTGTGTAGCATTTCTTCTTTTGAGGCAGTATGTGGCAGAGACTGCCAGCTGTCCCCTATATCTGCTTTCTTTCTTTCGTTAATAATAAACTCACACATTTTATGGGTCATTGGGATAAAGACATATTCTATCCTTCTTGGCAGCTGGAGTGCTTCTGAGACTACTTTCTGGCTAATGGGATGTGAGCAGTACTAATGTGTGCAATACCTGGATTGTGCCCATAAAGAGAAAGTAGGAGGGGTGCCTTCTACTTTTCTTCTCCTCTTCTTGCTTGCTGGAATAAGAATATGATGGCAGAAACTGGAGGAGCCGTTTAGTCACAAAGAGGAACATACATGTTAAGAATCACAGCATCACAAGCTAGAAGGAGCTTGGTGCTCATCACCACCCCATGGAGCTGCCATATCAGCCCTTAAATGCTCATGCTAGACTGCTACAAGAGAGAGACATTCATTTCTATATTGTTTAAGTCATTGTTGTTTGAGCAACTGTTACAACAATCACACTTTTATCTTTACATGTATAAGCACTAGCATTTTTATTTTTAATTGATAAGAATTATGTTATGTTTATATCATTTAATAGGTGTAAAAATAATTTTTGTTATGAATGTGTAAAATTTTTCTCCAGTTTCTCTCTTCCATTTTGCATTTTTAACTTTTTGGAGCAGTAAACACTCAAAAATCATCTCTTCTGGAAACCAATGTAATTTTCCTTCTTAAATGACTATTTCTTTTTCTCGTGTCTCTTTTCATTATTAAATATATTAATTTCTGAAAGTCCTGTTCTTAAATACATTCTTTTTAAAAAAAATCTCCTTGAGTCTTTACTTCCCAAATTTCAAAAATTGTTCTTGTTCAAACAAATGTGAATCTAAAATACAGCTTTTTAGTCTCTGTCACTTTCTAGAGCTCTAAACGGCTGTCAGCTTGCCATCTCTGCCACAGTGTACTGCTGACATTTTGTGTAATACTTCCGATATCATATTCATTGTCCTTTCCCCAGATCACATCCTTCTTCTTACATCCCAGTTTTTTGTTAATGGTACCAACATTCTCTAAGTAACCCAGACTTAAAACCCTGCAGTCACCTCACCTTCTTCCTTTATTCCTTACACCTAGCCAGTTGTCAAATGCTGTACATTCTATCTCTGGAGGATGTCTCTACTTCTCTTACTGTCTACTGCTAATACCCTAATTCAAGCTCTGAAATAGGTTAGGCCCTTGACTACGTAACTGATCATTTTTTGCAACTTCCTTAGCTTCCCTCAAGTCTTAAGGTTTGGCAAACTTTTTCTGTAAATAGTCAGAAGGTAAATACTTTAGGCTTGAGGCTATATGATCTCTGTTATAGCTACTTGACTCTGTCACTGTAGCAAGAAAACAGTCAAGGACAATATTTAAATAAATGGCTGTGGTAGCGTTCCAACAAAACTTTGTGTACAAAGAAAGGCAGCAAGCTATGTTGGTTCAGAAGCCATAGTTTGCCAACTCTTGTTCTAGACCATGGTATATATAAGTTAACAAGAGGACAATTTTCTGGCTCTCAAGTATCTTCTAATTTAGACAAGTAGGAAGGGAGGAAAAATACAAAAAAGCAGTAAATATATGAGCAAGATTAACAACCAATTCATTGCTGTAGTAAATATTATGAAGCCAATTAAATGATATGATAGCAAAGGACTAAAAAATTATCTTTAGGATTCAAAGGTCAGGGAAAGATTCTCTGTTAAAGTGATATTTGCATTGCAGCCTGAAAAAATATGCAAAACATGAGGTAAACACTTCCAAGCAGAGGTAGAAGCATGTCAAAGGCCCTATATTGTAAAGGAGATTTATTTATTTAAGGAAATTACTAGCAGGAGAAGGAGTAGGACAGGCTGCTGGGGAGGACCTCATGGAGGTCTTCTATGCAGGCTATCGTAAGGATTTGGGGTGCTATTCTACATCCAATAGAAAACAACTAGAAGGTTTTAAGGAGGAAAGTAAGAATCAATGGTTAACTTTAGAATGAATTATAGAAGGGTGAGACAGGTAGGTGATCAACCAATTAGGATGATATTATTGTAGTAATTCAATAAGAAAATGACTGTTTGAAGTGCATCTGTCACTAATATGGTTGCAGTGGAGATGAGGGAGCAGACTCAGAACATATTTTCTTGGAAAAACTAATAGAACCTGGTTCTATTAATTTGGTTGCAGAAGGTAAGGGAAGAAGGGAAGGATGACTTCTCTGTTTTTGACTTGAGTAATGGAGCAGTGATGATTACTGAGATGGAAAAGCATCTTACTAGTCATGAAATACCTACGATTTATCCTCTTTTTTCTTTAAAACTTTGAGCGTTACCTTTATTCCTTTCTGTTTTAAAGCACTAATGTTACGAGCAGTTATAACAAGTCTGTGAATAATTAATGTATAATTATATAAATAATCACAATGTATTGAGTTGAAAACAGTATGTCCTTTAAAATAATATTAAAATTGACTACTTTTTTTTCTTTGCAATAGTGGCATACTATCCACTAGTTAGGAAAATAAAATCACGCAAATCCTGCACTTTGATAAAGCCTTTAACTCATTCCTTTACTAAACAAGTAACACACAAAAATATACTCTCTGCAACACTAGGCTAAGCAAGGATTCAGTATACGTGGTAGCCCTATCTTCAGATGTGTAAGGCCTGGGTTAAGTTTGGATTAGGTAGGTTGCAAATAAAGAAGGCATCAACAATATATTGCAGGTGATATTAGAATGTTTCCCCTGGGATCATCTTAGTATTATAGTTAACAATTTCATAATGCAGTTGAAATGGCAGGCACTAGAATTGTTTGGCAGTCACTAACATTTCAGAACACCCAAACAGCATTTAAAATGACAATGATAAATTGTGATGTGAATTTTGGAAAGGGTAAGAACAAAATCAACAAACCTAGAGACCACTAATATTGGTATTGACTGGGAAGGACATACATATACATTGCAGTATAATAGATATCAGAGTTATAAAGACAAATAAATGAAGACCTCTGACTAAGGAATTTATAATCTAATTCAGTTTGGCTATAACATAAGACTCATAAAGGAAAAGAGTGAGGAATAGTTTTTGAAGGACAGGTTAGGGACAGATTTGTGGAGGGTCTTAAAAAGCAAGATAGTAAGTTTGGTCTTCATTCATGGGGTAATGGGGACTCTGTAAAGAGTTTTGGAGAAGAGAATAACAAGATGGTAATTGTTCTTTAGGAAGATTGATTGGGTAGTTCTATGAATCGGACAGCAAGAAGACACTGAAGTTGGGAAACAAATTAAGATGTTAATTCCATTTACTATTACAATGTCTTCAAATAAATACATGAATGCATTATTAATGTCTTCTTTTATAAAAGAAAAATATTTTTTGAAGATCTTGAAGTCAGCTATGAAATGTGTTAAAATAATAACAGGAATATTCTTGTACTGTCTGAAATTTATTGTGGGTTATTTATAGATTAGTGCTGACTTGCTAAGCACTTAATCTAACAGATCACTGGCATTTTTCAGCCCTTATTGCGTGTCAGGCACTGTCCTATAAGCTTGACAACTTATCACAGATACTTACCTGGACCCTATGGGGAAGGAGTTTTCACCACGTTTCCACTCAGAAGGATATTCAGGCCAATTATATAACCAGTCTAAGTTCGCCCGGCTAAGGACTCAAACCCAGTTCTGTTTCACTTCAGAGCCTGTGGCTCTGCTCTTAAACCTTTCACCATCAGATTTCATTGAAATGGTAATTTGTTCTCCAGCTATTTTTCGTGTTGAAAAATAGCTTTTTTTGTACTGTGTCACTAATAGCTCTGGGAACATCAAGTCGAATATTTTAGTTATTGTTATTTTGTTTGTTGATTTCTTCAAGTTTAATCTTAAAAGTAAAATTGACTTTTTCTTCATGAGATTGTGAAGTTATAACACACAAGGAAAGAATGACATGGGGTTGTAGAAATGTATTTGAAACCATATCAGTGCCTGTCAATTTATATAAATAGATCCTGCAAGTCCCTGTGACATTAAATAGTGGTTGGATTACATGGCTGGGTTCTTGAGGAGATTACCTCTGCCTTCTGCAGAGTATGAAGGCTATATTTAGAACTAGTGTTGATTTCACTGTTTGGAGTATTGTCTTTAAAAAAATAAAATTGTATACTGTGAAAACATTTTCTAGGTGGAATTTAAGGGGAATCATGTATAGTGAAAACCCAAAATAGTCAGTGAAAGTCTTCTATGAATACAAGTGGACTATCCTCTCTTATAACTATGTTAAATGTAACAAATCATCACTGGAATTGCTCTGAAAGAAAGAGCATAATGCTAGGGGTTGTGGATGACTTAAAGCTTTCATGCTCCTTTTCTCTTTTAGGGAGTATCCTCTAAAGCATGCTATACACAAGAAAAATAATCACGCACATTTCCTAAATTCTAGGTAAGCTAGAACTCTCCCAAAGCAGGGCTTCCTGGTAAGATAGAAGCAGAAGCTTCTTCCTTCCTACTTTCTGCTTATGGAACACCTCGGTCTTTCAAACAGACTCTAAATCTCCTTACCTAATCAGTTTCATGGAGTGAGGGTTACCTTACATTTCCAACCACAGGCAGAGACACTAGAACAAAAAGGACTTGTGTGGGCAGCCTTGCCTCTGTGGCAAATATTTTCATGCATGCTTTCTATAAGGAGGATAAAATGTAAGAAAAATGGTGTTACAAAAAATAGTATAAATCCTTTCAGTAGATAATGAGATGAAAGGAGGAAACGCTCCCATATGGCTGCATTAAGGCCCAGGAATACTGCCCCCTTGGAAAGGACTGCCACAGGTTATCACCAATTACATTATTAGCCCTCCTTTGGTGAAAAGTTAGTAAGAGAATGAATATAAGATTGAAAGAAATCTCCTCGGTACTTCCCTGAATGTGAAAAAAGGTATAAGCATCCAATTTTGTTATAGCAGAAAGTGATTTTATATTTATATATGTTTATATTTTTATAAGACCAAAGTATGAACAAAAGGGAATAAATAGTTCTGTTACACAACTATATCCAATGAAGTTGTGGTGAGAGTTGTCCTGAAAATTAGCACTAGAGTTACAAACACATTTAAAATGTATTGTCTATATAACTATATTTTACCTTCTTAAGTAGTAAGAAGTAAAACAAATATTAGGAAAAATGTTAGTAAAAGGGTAATTATTACATCTAAACATTAAAAAACACAACAAACTTTTTCTACAAAAATGTATAATTTACAGTCAAAAGTTGTGAGACACAAAGAATTAATTAAAAGAAAACTTAGTCACCAATATAGCTAGTGATAGTAGTTATTCATTGGACATGCAATGCCAACCCCTTGGTTAAGGCCTTTACTTATCTCCATTAATCCTTGAGAATTATATGCCATAGCAGACAGTCTTAGTGCAGTATTCTTATTTTACAATGGAAAAAGTAGAGGCTCAGAAAAGTTAAATAACTTGGCCAAAGGCACACAGACATAAATGTAGGAACTGGGGCTGATGGGTGTCAATTTCCACATTAATATCTGCTAGTCTGACTATTTAACACATTTATCAAAGTTTCACCAAAAGGTGTAAAGGTGAAAAGTGGCTGTGAAAATTAGTTCTGAAGAATCTTTAATAAGAGAAAAGACAAGCACTCCATTGGTTAGCTTAAAATTATTTTCTAAGAAAGTTTCCTGGGAGAAAGACTCCCTTGAATTCTCTTTCATTGCATAAATTTGAGGAAAGTTCACGTTTGAAAGTCTAATGCAAAATTTTAACCACCACAGTTCAGTTTTGAGTAATTTCTGCATATATTTTAACAGTCACAATGATACAAAACAGGAAGAAAAACGTAATGTCAAAGCTGTTATTTCTAGGATTTCAGAGATTAGTTTCTGGATGAATCCAATATGCTTGAGCCAATAATGCTCCAAGCAAAACAAATTAAATTTCATTAGGGCTTTCCAGGCCTCAGGACAAGTGAAAATTCTGTGTGATACTTGTCTCATGCAATGTCATGCTTCATGGACCAGCACCATAAAAAGCAAAGGATATTTGGATTGTCTATTTTATCAGAGCTTTGGGTATAAAATTTTGATCTGGATGATTACAGACAAAGCACACACCCCAGAGAGGGTGCTGATCTATGCATAGAAGCTATATATTTCTCCTAAGTGAATGTAGGTTATCTCAACTTTCTGAATGACTGAACTTTCAAGGCAATCATCATCACTAGCTCTTAAAATGCTACTGACACAGTCCTAACTCTTATAGTAGAAAATATGACCAACACTCTGGTAATTTCCACCAGTTCTGCCCAGTTGAAGAACCATGCTCTTGTTTCCAATTGCTTGTTAGGAAACGTCAGTTATTTTATTACAGAATATTTAAAAGGCAATAGTAGTTGTAGTGGTAACAACAGTAGTTTTAAATAACTAAAGCCACTCTATGACAACTAAGGAAAGAATTAAGTAGTTTGACAAGTCATTTTAAGCATAATCGAATGCATATCTAACTGCAGCATATAGTGATAAATTCATCCATTCCACTCAGTGAATGGTGGTAAAATAAATCATGGTAACAAGACAAGTATGATTCCTGCCTTCATGGAACTTATAATAAGGGGGGGGGCAGAAAATAAGCTAGTAAAAAAATGAACATATTAATTAATCAATAATTACAAATTGCAATAAGTGATATGATAGAAAGAAGGTGATGTGATAGAAAGCGAAGAACTGAATTCTGCTACTCTTGACAATATGGGCAGAAGCCTTTCTGACGAAGTAGCAGTTTAGCTTGCTACAAGCCTGGAGAAGAGCATTTCCAGGCACATAGAGCAGAGAATTGAAAAGGTTCTAAGGCATGTAAGAGTTTTTCTTGCTCAGGGAACAGAATAGAAGTCATTGTGTTTGGGAGTGGGAATGATGACATTGGACCTGCAGCAGGAGCTGGATATTGCATGGGATGTAAGGCAAGGTAACCTCAATTTTTATATTATTAGACAAGATTTCATTCTACATGCAATGGAAGACATTGGCAGTTTTGAAGGAAATTGTGAATTTGATTGACATTTTTAAGTTCAGCCTGACTGGCAAGTGAAGAATTGAGTTGAAAACACGAAAAGTTACGACAGGAGTCTAGCCAAGAGATAATGCCGAGATAATGTTTGAATCAGAATAATGGCAAAGATGACACAGAAAAGATGATAGATCCAAAACATGTTTTTAGCAGAACTGATAGACTCTAGTGAACATTAGATGGGGAAGGTAAGGGAAAGGAAATGACTCCTAAAGTTTTGGTTTGAGAAACTGGGTGATCACGGCACCATTTATACGAATGGAGAAGGTTAAGCGAGGAATAAAATTTGAGTTCTGTTTTGAATATTTCAGTTTCTGATATCTGTTGGATAGCCACATAAAATGTCAAGTAAGTACTTAGACATACAAATCTTGAGACTAGAGAACATCTAAGCACTACACTAAACATGAGAAAAACACTCTGCAAAAAGACCCTGCATCATTTGCTCGTAAGTGATCTCGTGAACGATGAATTCCTCCACTTATGCTCTAGGACATCACCTTGAAGAGAGAAGCAAGAAGACAAAACGGCCACTCCAGAAACTGAGCTATTCCTAGAAAGTCTAATATTATGTTAACTTAATCACTATTTCAATTATTATAAATGTAAATGACACTGGACATTTAGTTAATTTTTTTCCTGCTAAAGAGTGAGTGGGACCTTGGCTGGGTGCGGTGGGGTGGCTCACACCTACAATCCCAGCCCTTTGGGAGGCCGAGGTGGGCGGATCACGAGGTCAGGAGATCGAAACCATCCTGGCCAACACGGTGAAACACCGTCTCTACTAAAAATACCAAAAATTAGCCAGGCATAGTGGCACACACCTGTAGTCCCAGCTACTCGGGAGGCTGAGGCAGGAGAATCACTTGAACCTGGGAGGTGGAGGTTGCAGGTTGCAGTGAGCCAAGATCACGCCACTGCACTCCAGCCTTGGCGACAGAGCGAGACTCCTTCTCAAAAAAAAAAAAAAAAGTCAGTGGGGACTTTTATGGAAGTACAGATAATCGATTAAAAAGATAAAGGAATTTTATTTTTATTTGAATATCTAGAATGTAGTATGAGTTACATTTGCATATGTCATATAAAAATAATTCTGGGTGCAGAAACTTCCTTTCTGTCACAGGTAACTTCTCTTGATGAAATCTCAGTACTGGGCAGGCAGTTGTGCCATCAGGAATGGCACTGGGCAGGGTGCAATGGTGAATACCAGATATCGCTACTTGTTATGACATTTCCTTGCTTTTGGCAATTACTCTGCGCAGGTCAAAACTACATGTTAAATCAATTCTTAACAAGCTGCACTACTGATCTTAGCAAGTGCAAAGAGTGTTAATTATTGTAGGTTAGCACAATCATTGTGGAGCTTCAGATATTTCAGATAAGATTCTAAATGTCCCTGTGAAACAGAAAACTCTTTAAGCTTCTGTATCACTGTTAAAAATCTCTGCACCTTCCACCTCAGGATAAAGATTCTCAAACCCATTTCTACTTTATCTGGAGTCCAAAAATACTATATCAAAGCAAGTGCTGGGGTATATAGCTGTGCATTCTGTAGCATGTATGTTCACCGAGTTCTTACTAAGTAACCACTACGATAATGCGCTTTACAAATGTTACATCATTTGGTTCTTACAACAGCCACATAAAATAGATAGTACTGTACACATGTTGCAGTGCTGAAGCTGATAGAGATTAAACCCCAATTCAAACAATTTATGGTGTCAGTGTTGCAAGATAAACCCAGGTCCTTCTGACTCCAAAGCCCATGATCTAAGACTTTAATGAAGAGAATGTTATGAGATCAGATTGGGATCTTATTGAGTGGAGTATGAGATGAAGAGGTTCCAGAATACCCTCTATGCTGCACTTTAATTGTGGATCTATTTAATCATTCAGACACACAAAATCTTATATTGCTTTGTCAATGAAGCTTTGGTCAAATGTCTGGGAAGATGTGTCAACCACTTTATTGGAAGTTAAGCCTGACTGATTAATTGGCTTATCAGAAAGCTATATGGCGAAAATAATATTAGGTCAATCAAATTTTATTATAAAGAGAAAGTGGCTCACTCAATTCCTGGCAATTCATATTCTGCATCTTCTACCCTTGCCCCATTAATTCCAATATTACTTCTCTGTACAGACTTTACTGAGCTCATTCAACTCCAGGGATAGGTATACCTGGAGGTGTTTTTTTCAGTATCTTGTACATGAATTTTACCGTAATACTTATCCCATTATATTTTCAAATTGGTGTCTAATTTCACACTAAATTGCCTGTTTCTTCACCACAGCGATTTCTGGGCCTTATTTGACTTTAAATCCTTAATGTCTATTCTAGAATTTGATATATGTTAAATTCCTGAGAGTATTGTAGGAATATATGAGTGAATGAATGAACCAACCAAATAAATTGAGCTTCAGGATAATTATCTTGGACATCTTATAAAAAGAAAAGCTGGGCAATTTAATCACTCGTTCAGTCAGTGATGAATTTGCAAGTGGTATAGGTCTAGCTTAGGAATTTTACAGTCTTTCAGTACTTCTGATTAAGTGATAAATCAGGAGAAAAAAATTATCACATCAAGAGATTGTCATCATCATGAAAGAAACAATTTGTAAAGACACCTTTTTCTGAAGACTCAAAGAATATTGATGCAGGCTTCTTGTGGATAACTTTAATGCATATTAAACTTACTTTGTCAGTGCAAACTAACCTATTTTTAAACATGTACATTGGATCAGAGTGTTTACATATAACGTTGTGTTAATTTTTTAGGCAGATATCTACATTTTAAGATGCTGTGCCCACTACTGTGATTTCCAAATTTTCTGCCATCTGTTGCTACTGCAATTTACCTACAGGGATTTTTGAAAGCTTGCAGACTAATTAAAACTTCATAATTTTCATCTGAAATGTTGTCTGTGCTATTATCTTTAAATGTACTTTTCCCAGGTAACTTCTTGAACCATATTACTATTTTTCTTTTGCAGAACTTTCAGATGACTTTATTGGAGGAAAGACATTTTTCTGCAACTTTATAACTTTTCCGGCTGTCTATCCTAAAGCCAACATGACAGCATGTACTCCAAAAGGTATAGATTTTTATCTCATTAAAATTAAAGCAGTTTTAAAGAATACACTTACAAGTTGAGTTCCTGAGATAGAAAAAGATAAAACATATCAATTTTATTTTAATAGTTCTATTGACGTATAACTACAAACAATAAATGGCATATATTTCAAATGTACAATTTGATAAGCTTTGACTACAAACAATAAATGGCATATATTTCAAATGTACAATTTGATAAGCTTTGACTATGTACATATTATACCTGTAAAGTTATCACCACATCCAAGAGATTAAACATATTCATCCTCCCAAAATTTCCTAATGTACTTTTCTCAATTATCTCTTCTGCATCATCCCCTGACCCATTCCTTAGGCAGTCACTGATCCACTTTCTCTCAGTATGGATTAGTTTGTATTTTAAGAATTCTATGTAAATAGAATCATGCAGTATGTATTCCTTTTTGTCTGGCTTCCCTCATTCAGCCTGTTTTGAGAATCATCCATGTTGTTAGGTGTATCAAGTTTGTTCATTCCTTTTTATTGCTGAGTAGTATTTCATTGCATATAAATATACCACAATTTCTTTACTCATTCCTCTGCTGCTAACATTTGGGTGTTTCCAGATTGTTTTCAATACAAATAAAACTGCATTTCAATACAAATAAAGCTACATTTATGTACCGGTATTTGTATGAATACGGTTTATTCTTTTGGGTAAGCACCTATAAGTGGAATAGCTGGATCATATGTATGTGTACTATTTTAAGAAACTGTCAGAGAATACAAAGTAGCAGATACAGTACTCCCCACTTATTTGCAGAGGATATGTCCCAGGATCCCCAGTGGGTGCCTGAAACCACAAATAGTGCTGAACCCAATGACATCTCCCCATTTCTTCCACCACCACTCGCTTCCTGCCCCTGGTAATCACTGTTTTATTCTCTATCTCTGTACTCAACTCTTTTAAGATTCCACTATGTATATGAGATTAGGCAATCAATAAGATAAACTCTTCAAGCCTATGTCTTGAAGAGTTTATCAAAAATATACATGGTCTCTAGGCCCATAGGAGAACATGGTTCAGAAGCATCAATAAAAATTCCCATTTATAGTGTGAAAAAAAACTGTCAAATTTTTTTTTAATTTAATTTTTTTTTAAGTTCCAGGATATATATATGCAGGATGTGCAGGTTTGTTACATAGGTAAACATGTGCCATGGTGGTTTGCTACACCTATCAACCTCACCTTGGTATGTTTTCAGAAGTGGTAGTACCACTCCACATTCCAGCAAGAAGTCTCTAAGGATTCCAGCTTCTCCGCAACATTGCCAACACTTGGTGTGAAATTTTAGCCATGAGAATAGGTATGTAGATATCGTTGTGCTTTTAATTTGCATTTAATAACAATGTAGAACGTCTTCTTCGGAGCTTGTCATCCATTTATCTTCTTTAATGAAGTGCCTAACTGCTAATGACTAGAACTTTCAGAACAAGGTTAAGTAGAAGTGGTGAGAGTGCTCATCCTTGTCTTATTCCTGATAATGAGGGAAAAGCAGTGTCCTTACCACCAAATTATGTATGGCATACCATAGCTTTTTCAGTAAGTGCCATTTGTCATGTTTTGGGAGTTTCCTTCTATTGCTAGTTTGATGAGACTTTATTTTTAAAAATCAGGAATAGAGACTGGATTTTGTCAAATGCCATTTCTATGGCTATTGAGATAATCATATGGCTCTTTTTTACTTTATTAACATGGTGATTCACATTGATTGATTTTTGAGTGCTAGCCCAAGCCTGCATTCCTGAGATAAACCCCACTTGCTCATGATATTTTATCTTTTTTATATATTGTCAGGTTTAATTTGCAAGCATATTGTTGAGAATCTCTGTATTTGTGCTTATGACATATATTGGCCTGTCATTTTCTTTTTTCTTTCTTTAAAAAAACTTTATTTGTTTGTTTTTTCAAGACAGAGTTTCACTCTTGTCACCCAGGCAATGGCGCGATCTCAGCTCACTGCAACCTCTTCCTCCCAGGTTCAAGCGATTCTCCTGCCTCAGCCTCCCAAATGGCTGGGATTATAGGCACCCACCACCACACTCAGCTAATTTTTGTATTTTTAGTAGAGATGGGGTTTCACCGTGTTGGCCAGGCTGCTATAGCAGGCCCTATAGACAGATGAGCTGAAAAATATTCCCTTATCTTTGATTTTCTAGATTTTGTATAAAATTGATATTATTTATTTAATTTTTTATTATTATACTTTAAATTCTAGGATACACGTGCAGAACGTGCAGGTTTGTTACATAGGTATACAATGTGCCATGGTTGTTTGCTGCACTCATCAACCCGTCATCTACATTAGGCATTTCTTCTAATGCTATCCCGCCCCTGGCCCCCTATCCTACAACAGGCCCCAGTGTGTGATGTTTGCCTCCCTGTGTCCATGTGTTCTCATTGTTCAACTCCCACTTGTAAGTGAGAACATGTGGTGTTTGGTTTTCTCTTCTTTAAATATTTGGTAGAATTTACAATAAAGCCATCGGGGGTGGGATTTTCTTTGTAGGAAAATTTTTTAATTTCTTTGCTTTTTTAAAAAAATTTTTTGAGACGAAGTTTTGCTTTTGTCGCTGAGGCTAGAGTGCAATGGCTCGATCTCGGCTCGCTGCAACCTCCGCTTCCCAGGTTCAAGCTATTCTCCTGCCTCAGCCTCCCGAGTAGCTGGGATTACAGGCATCCACCACCAGGCCTGGCTAATTTTTTTCTTTTTTAATTTTTAATGGAGACGTGGTATCGCCATGTTGACCAGGCTGGTCTCGAAATCTTGACCTCAGGTGATACACCCGCCTCGACCTCCCAGAGTGCTGGGATTACACGCATGAGCAACCATGCCCGGCCTGATGTTTTAATTTCAAATTCAACTGCTTTAATAAATATGGGGGTATTAAATTTATCTATTTCTGTGAGTTTTGGTTGTTTGTATCTTTCAAGGGATTTGTCTACTGTATCTAAGTTGTTGAATTTATATCCATTAGGTTCCTGATAATATTTCCTCATTGTTTTTAGTAATTATAGAATCTGTGGTCATGTCACTACTCTTATTCCAGAAATGAGTAATTTATTTTCTCCCTTTTTTTCCCTAAGTTGTCTAGCTAAAGGTTTATTAAGAAAATTGATATCAAAGAACCAGCTTTTGGTTTCATTGACTTTCTCCGCTGTTTTCTTTTTTTTTTATTATTATACTTTAAGTTCTAGGGTACATGTGCACAATGTGCGAGTTTGTTACATATGTATACATGTGCCATGTTGGTGTGCTGCACCCATTAACTCATCCTTTACATTAAGTATATCTCCTAATGCTATCCCTCCCCCTTTCCCCACCCCACAACAGGCCCCGGTGTGTGATGTTCCCCTTCCTGTGTCCAAGTGTTCTCACTGTTCAATTCCCACCTATGAGTGAGAACAGGCGGTGTTTGGTTTTCTGTCCTTGTGATAGTTTGCTGAGAATCATGGTTTCTAGCTTCATCCATGTCCCTTCAAAGGACATGAACTCATCCTTTTTTATGGCTGCATAGTATTCCATGGTATATATGTGCCATATTTTCTTAATCCAGTCTATCATTGTGGGACATTCTGGTTGGTTCCAAGTCTTTGCTATTGTGAATAGTGCCACAATAAACATACGTGTGCATGTGTCTTTATAGCAGTATCATTTATAATCCTTGGGGTATATATCCAGTAATGGGATGGCTGGGTCAAATGGTATTTCTAGTTCTAGATCCTTGAGGAATCACAACACTGTCTTCCACAATGGTTGAACTAGTTTACAGTCCCACCAACAGTGTAAAAGTGTTCCTATTTCTCCACATCCTCTCCAGCACCTGTTGTTTCCTGACTTTTTAATGATCACCATTCTAACTGGTGTGAGATGGTATCTCATTGTGGTTTTGATTTGCATTCCTCTGATGGCCAGTGATGATGAGCATTTTTTCATGTGTCTGTTGGCTGCATAAATGTCTTCTTTTGAGAAGTGTCTGTTCATATCCTTCGCCCACTTGTTGATGGGATTGTTTTTTTTTTTGTTTTTTTGAGTTATTTGTAGATTCTGGATATTAGCCCTTTGTCAGATGAGTAGATTGCAAAATTTTTCTTCCATTCTGTAGGTTGCTTGTTCACTCTGACGGTAGTTTCTTTTGCTGTGCAGAAGCTCTTTAGTTTAATTAGATCCCATTTTTTAATTTTGGCTTTTGTTGCCATTGCTTTTGGTGTTTTAGTCATGAAGTCCTTGCCCATGCCTATGTCCTGAATGGTATTGCCTAGGTTTTCTTCTAGGGTTTTTATGGTTTTAGGTCTAACATTTAACTCTTTAATCCATCTTGAATTAATTTTTGTATACAGTGTAAGGAAGGGATCCAGTTTCAGCTTTCTACATATGGCTTGCCAGTTTTCCCAGCACCATTTATTAAATAGGGAATACTTTCCCCATTGCTTGTTTTTGTCAGGTTTGTCAAAGATCAGATGGTTGTAGATGTGTGGCATTATTTCTGAGGGCTCTTTTCTGTTCCATTGGTCTATATCTCTGTTTGGGTACCAGTACCATGCTGTTTTGGTTATTGTAGCCTTGTAGTATAGTTTGAAGTCAGGTAGCATGATGCCTCCAGCTTTGTTCTTTTGGCTTAGGATTGTCTTGGCAATGCGGGTTCTTTTTTGGTTCCATATGAACTTTAAAGTAGTTTTTTCCAATTCTGTGAAGAAAGTCATTGGTAGCTTGATGGGGACGACATTGAATCTATAAATTACCTTGGGCAGTATGGCCATTTTCACAATATTGATTCTTCCTATCCATGAGCATGGAATGTTCTTCCATTTGTTTGTGTCCTCTTTTATTTTGTTGAGCAGTGGTTTGTAGTTCTCCTTGAAGAGGTCCTTCGCATCCCTTGTAAGTTGGATTCCTAGGTATTTTATTCTCTTTGAAGCAATTGTGAATGGGAGTTCACTCATGATTTGGCTCTCTGTTTGTCTGTTGTTGGTGTATAAGAATGCTTGTGATTTTTGCACATTGATTTTGTATCCTGATTTGCACATTGATTTTGCTGAAGTTGCTTATCAGCTTAAGGAGATTTTGGGCTGAGACAACGTGGTTTTCTAAATATACAATCATGTCATCTGCAAACAGGGACAACAATTTGACTTCCTCTTTTCCTAATTGAATACCATTTATTTCTTTCCCCTGCCTGATTGCCCTGGCCAGAACTTCCAACACTATATTGAATAGGAGTGGTGAGAGAGGGCATCCCTGTCTTGTGCCAGTTTTCAAAGGGAATGCTTCCAGTTTTTGCCCATTCAGTATGATATTGCCTGTGGGTTTGTCATAAATAGCTCTTGTTATTTTGGAATATGCTCCATTAATACCTAATTTATAGAGGGGTTTTAGCATGAAGGAGTGTTGAATTTTATCAAAGGGCTTTTCTGCATCTATTGAGATAATCGTGTGGTTTTTGTCATTGGTTCTGTTTATGTGATGGATTACGTTTATTGATTTGCATATGTTGAACCAGTCTTGCATCCCAGGGATGAACCCAACTTGATTGTGGTGGATAAGCTTTTTAATGTGCTGCTGGATTCGGTTTGCCAGTATTTTATTGAGGATTTTGGCATTGATGTTCATCAGGGATATTGGTCTAAAATTCTCTTTTTTTGTTGTGTCTCTGCCAGGCTTTGGTATCAGGATGATGCTGGCTGCATAAAATTAGTTAAGGAGGATTCCCTCTTTTTCTATTGATTGGAATAGTTTCAGAAGGAATACCAGCTCCTCCTTATACCTCTGGTAGAATTAGGCTGTGAATCTGTATGGTCCTGGACTTTTTTGTGTTTGCTAGGCTATTAATTATTGCCTCAATTTCAGAGCCTGTTATTGGTCTATTCAGAGATTCAACTTCTTCCTGGTTTAGTCTTGGGAGGGTGTATGTGTCCAGGAATTTATCCATTTCTTCTAGATTTTCTAGTTTATTTGCGTAGAGGTGTTTATAGTATTCTCTGATGGTAGTTTGTATTTCTGTGGGATCGGTAGTGATATCCCCTTTATCATTTTTTATTGCATCTATTTGATTCTTCTCTCTTTTCTTCTTTATTAGTCTTGCTAACAGTCTATCAATTTTGTTGATCGTTTCAAAAAACCAGCTACTGGATTCATTGATTTTTTGAACGGTGTTTTGTGTCTCTATCTCCTTCAGTTCTGCTCTGAACTTTGCTATTTCTTGCCTTCTGCTAGCTTTTGAATGTGTTTGCTCTTGCTTCTCTAGTTCTTTTAATTGTGATGTTAGGGTGTCAATTTTAGATCTTTCCTACTTTCTCTTGTGGGCATTTAGTGCTATAAATTTCCCTCTACACACTACTTTAAATGTGTCCCATTGATTCTGGTATGTTGCGTCTTTGTTCTCATTAGTTTTAAAGAACATCTTTATTTCTGCCTTCATTTCGTTATGTACTCAGTAGTCATTCAGGAGCAGGTTGTTCAGTTTCCATGTAGTTGAGCAGTTTTGAGTGAGTTTCTTAATCCTGAGTTCTAGTTTGATTGCACTGTGCTCTGAGAGACAGTTTGTTATAATTTCTGTTCTTTTACATTTGCTGAGGAGTGCTTTACTTCCAACTATGTGGTCAATTTTGGAATAAGTGCAATGTGGTGCAGAGAAAAATGTATATTCTGTTGATTTAGGTTGGAGAGTTCTGTAGATGTCTATTAGGTCCGCTTGGTGCAGAGCTGAGTTCAATTCCTGGATATCCTTGCTAACTTTCTGTCTGATTGATCTGTCTCATGTCGACAGTGGGATGTTAAAGTCTCCCATTATTATTGTGTGGGAGTCTAAGTCTTTTGTAGGTCTCTAGGGACTTGCTTTATAAATCTGGGTGCTCGTGTATTGGGTGCATATATATTTAGGATAGTTAGCTCTTCTTGTTGAATTGATCCCTTTACCATTATGTAATGGCCTTCTTTGTCTCTTTTGATCTCTGTTGGTTTAAAGTCTGTTTTATCAGAGACTAGGATTGCAACTCCTGCCTTTTTTTGTTTTCCATTTGCTTGGTAGATCTTCCTCCATCCCTTTATTTTGAGCCTATGTGTGTCTCTGCACATGAGATGGGTCTCCTGAATACAGCACACTGATGGTTCTTGACTCTTTAACCAATTTGTCAGTCTGTGTCTTTTAATTGGAGCATTTAGCCTATTTACATTTAAGGTTAATATTGTTATGTGTGAATTTGATCCTGATTAATATTTTGATTTTTATTATTTCTCTTCCTCTGTTTAGCTTGGATTTAATTTTCTGTTTTTACCCCAGTTTTATTGAGGTGAAAGTAGAAATCGTTGACTTGAGAATTTTTTTATATTATAGGTGTTCAGTGCTATAAATTTCCCCTAACTAGTTTTGTGTCATTCACACAATGTAATATACTATATTGTCATTTTTATTTAGTTCAAGATTATTTCTAATTTTAAAAAATTCATTTTCCCATGGATAATTAGAAGTATGTAATCTAATTTCCAAATGTTTGGGTATTTTTCAGAGTTCTTTTGGTTATTAATTTATAATATTTTCATTGTGGTAAGAAACATATTTTGTATAAGTGGATCTTACTACATTTATTGAGATATGTTTTATGGGACAAAACATGGTTTATCTTTGTAAATGTTCTGTATGTACATTAGAAGGATGTGTCTTCTGCTGTTGTAGGGTGATTGTTCTATAAATGTTAGTTAGATCAAGTTGGTTGATAATTGTGTTTAAGTCTATGATGTAGAAGTTTATTTTTAATTACTTGTTCTATCAATTATTCAAAGAAGGATACTTAACTGTAACTATAGTTTGAATGTATCTATTATCTTCTCACAGCTCTGCCAGCCTTTGTTTCATTCATTTCAAAGCTCTGTGATTAGGGGTATAAACATTTACAGTTTTATTGATGAATTAATTAACCCTTTTATCATTATTGATGACACCCTTTATCCCTGGTAATATTCTTTCTTTTAAAATCTACTTTGAGACAAATGCCACATAAACTCACCTATATGTGGAGTATAAAACAACTGAACACTCATAAGAATCAGAGAGTAGAATGGTAATTATTAGAGGTCGGGGATGAAGGGGATGTGGAAAGGGTGAGTTAAACCCTTTAAAACCATTTAAAACTGTTGGTTAAAAAGCATAAAGTTTCTGTTAGGAGAAAAGTGTTTTTTGAGATTATTGTAAAGCATGATAACCATAGTTAATAATAATGTATCATATATCTTAAAATTACTAAGAGAGTCAATTTCAAATATTCTCCTCACCAAAAAAAAAGATGTGTATTTGAGGTGACGGGTGTGTTAATTACCTTGATTTAATCATGCCGCATTGTATACATATGACATAACATCACCTTTTACCTCATAAATATATACAATTATAATTTGTCAATTTAAAATTAAAAAATCATGGTCTCTGTTGAACAATGATGTCTACCTTCCTGAATCCCTTTCTGTGCATACATATATATTTAAGTATCTTTTTAATTTTAATTTTTTAACTTGAAAACACATTATGTACAATTTGATTGCCTTCTTATTTTGTTTTTCATTTCAATGGATACTTTTATGTGACTACATTTTAATTTATTGACTGCATAAGTTTATGGTTCCTGGGCATAGCACAAAATTCTTGTTTCCCTTCTAGCATTTAGGCTATTTAAAAAATTTTAGTATTCTAATGGCTCAGACTTACAGAATTAGCTAAAAGTACTTAGGAGAAACAGCACAACCATCTGAAAAATTCCCAAACCAGACACAAATTATTAAAGTTGCATAAAGATTGAGAAATTGCTGAATGAGGAATTGTGTAAAAGTTATTGAGAACATATTGACCACTTTGTTGTTTTGACTAATCACCATTTACATTAAATTATTTTTAACCAAAAAAAATCTACTTTGAATACATATTTTATATGTGAGAAATATGTATGTGTATGTATATATATAATCTATATATAGAGATATATAGATATCTCTCTATATATGAGAAACACACATTCACCTGTCCAAATCCAAGGAATGGACTCGGAGATAGGAAGCACAGCAGAAGCAAGACTTTTAATGGCAGTCTTGCAAGATCAGGTGTCTGGTAGGCAGACACACCCGGGGCTGTTACAACAGATAATTTATCTCTTGGCATGCAGGTTCCTCCCCCAGTTCCTCACTAGTTGAGTACTATGGGATTACAATCTTCCCGGACATCATCTAAGTTTCATTATCTCCCTTATAAGGTTATAACCTGGTCCCCTTCCCCGTTTAAGTTTCAATTTCCCAATAACGAAACTTTCTTCCCTTTTATGGGCTAACTCCTCCTCTACATTCTGTTCACTCATTGTGACCTTCTAGGTGCATAAGCCATGCTGTTTGTTACATTCACAGGCTGGCTGCCAATACTTAGACTTATCATGCCTTGGAAATGGACCATTTAAAATGTTTTCTCATATATAATATGTGTACAGCCACTCCACCAGCTTTCTTTGATTATTGTTAGCTTGGCATATATACAAATATATATATAAATAGAAATATAAATATATATATATTTATTCATATGGTTTGGCTGTGTCCTCACCCAAAATCTCATCTTGAATTGTAGTCCCCATAATCCCCACGTGGCAAGGAAGAGACCAGGTGGAAGTAATTGAATCATGGAGGCAGTTTCCCCCATGCTGCTCTCATGATAGTGAGTGAGTTCTCACCAGATCTGATGGTTTTATAAAGGGCTCTCCCGCCTTTGCTAGGCACTTCTTCCTGACACATTGTGAAGAAGATACATTGCTTTCCCGTCAGCTTCCTCCTTGATTGTAAGTGTCCCCAAGACTCCCCAGTTATACTGAACTGTGAGTCAGTTAAACCTCTTTCCTTTATAAATTACCCAGTCTCAGGTATGTCTTTATAGCAGTGTGAGAACAGACTAATACACGTATTTTTTTTCTTATCCTTTTACTTTTCGCTTATTTTTCTCTTTATATTTTAAGTATGTTTCCTTTAGGCAGCATTTAGTTTTTTAACCGAATCTGGCAACGTTTGCTTTTTAATTTGAGTGTTCAGATCATTTAAATTTAATGTGATTATTAATATTGCTAGGTTTAAGTCTATCATCTTGTTATTTTTTATTGGCCGCATTTCTTCTTTGCTCCTTTTTTGTTTTTTAAATAATTTTATTTTATCACATTTGTTGCCTTATTATACCTCTGTTTTGTTATCTTAGTCATTGCTTAATGATCTATGATAAACATCCTTCATAGCCTACCCTCAAGTGATATACCACTTCATACATATGATACGAACTTCATACATATGATAAGATAAATTTCTTATCATATGTATGAAGAAATTGAAATTACTTCAATTTCTCCTTTCATGGCCTTTGTGCTATTGTTGCTCTATATTTTACTGTTACATATGTCATAAATCCTAACATTACTATTTTTGTTAGACAATTATCTCTTACTGAGATTTTATTAATAATGAAACCATTCTTTTATATTTACTGATGTAATTAATATTCCTGGTGCTTTGTGTAGATCTGAATTTCCATCTGTTGTCATTTTCCTTCCTGAAGGACTTCCTTAATATTTTTTGTAGTGTGCATTAGTCCCCACTTATCCATAGGGACTATGATTCAAGCCCTACAGTGGATGCCTGAAATTATGGATAGTACCAACCGCATATATACGTTATGTTTTTTCCTAGACTTACATACCTATGATAAAGTTTAAATGATAAAGTAGGTACAGTAAGAGATTAATAACAATGACATTATAAAATAGAACAATTATAACAATGGTAATAAAAGTTACATAAAGATGTTCTTTTTCTGTCTCTTTTTAAAAGCATCTTACTATACTGTACTCACTCTTCTTTTACTTGTGATGATATGAGATGATAAAATCCCTATGTGATGAGACGAAGGGAGGTGAATGATGTAGGCATTGTGACATAGGATTAGTTTGCTATTGACCTTCTGATGATATATCAGAAGAAAGGTCATCTTCTGGTGATCCTGGATCACAGAGCCACAATGATGATGGTTAGATGTTAGGAGTACATGATGCTGATGACTATTGGGTAGGGAGTATGTACAGTGTGGCTACATTGGACCAAGGGATGATTCACATCCTGATGAAGACAGAGCAGGACAGGGAAAGAGTTTGTCATGCTACTCAAAATAGCATGTGATTTAAAACTCATGAATTGTTTATTTCCAGAATTTTTCATTTAATACTTTTAGACTGCTGTTGACGGCAAGTAAATGAAACTGCAGAAAGCAAAACCACAGATAAAGCGGTGACTACTGTAGTTACCTTGGTGATGAATTCTCTGAGCTTTTATATGTTTTTAAATGTCTTCATTTCACTTTCATTTTTGAAAGATAATGTTATTGGTTGTGTGATTCTAGGTTGACAATTTTTTTTTTTCTTTCAGAACTTTAAAGATACTACTTTACATTGTCTTTCTATGTGTAATACAATCCCCTCTCACCTCTGGTTGCTATAAGGATTTTCTCCTCATCAGACTTCTTTTAGTCTTCCATCTACAAAATGATTTTTTCTTTTTTTTTTTTTTAAAGTCAGGTTCCCAACTGCTGAGAGCAAAGACAAATGTATTCTGGCTAGATCCATAGGACAGAATTTTAGACAAAAACAACTGATGTTCTTTCTTACCAGGTCTTCTTCAAGGTCCCTCTTCTAAAATCCCTGATGCTGACAGATCCCCTTCCAACAGTGTGATCATCTCTTCTTAGTTATCCTATCTCAATTTAGGTATGAAGATGTCTGATAATATAAGAAGTGGTATGGTGTTCCCTATTTCTTTTGGATTGCTTCAAGCTTTGTTTCATCTTTTTAGTCACTTGAATTTTATCTGTGTTCTATATTCAAGATAGCTGGTAGCGTTGATCAATAACAAAACATTGTGCAATTCTGAACACAGACTCTGCGGTTTGGGGGGAAAATGGCATTCCACTCTATTAACAGCAGGTATGGGATGCATAGAGGAGGAGCAACTTGACAACAGGAAGTATTTTATAGGGAATTACAAACTATCTGCCTTCCAAAGAGTGTACTTGCTGTACTTCAGTTCTACAACAGGCTTAAAAGAAAGGGGAAGGGCTAGATATTTTCAAGATTTCAGTATTTTTTTTGCTTCCTCTCAAAGTATTGGGATGCTGCTCCCCTCCACAAACACACACAACTAGTGCATCAATTCATTAAACCTAAATGTTGTGAATATCAAGCATCAAAACAGGGGAGCCAGATAATTTATTGGGTCTAATAATTTGTCCAGGCAAATTGATACAACAAAATAGGACCAAATAGGAAGGATCTGTACTGGAAACATGGCTACCAGGACTAGGTACTATTTGTGCAAAAAAAAATTGCAACTAGAGAGCCAGTTTATAGAAAAATAACTTGCAAGATTCAAATCAATGTAGGTCAGAATTTGAGGTTTCATTTCAAAAGAGAGGGAACCCATTGTGGTTTTGATTTGCATTTCTCTGATGGCCAGTGATGGTGAGCATTTTTTCATGTGTTTTTTGGCTGCATAAATGTCTTCTTTTGAGAAGTGTCTGTTCATGTCCTTTGCCCACTTTTTGATGGGGTTGTTTGTTTTTTTCTTGTTAATTTGTTTGAGTTCATTGTAGATTCTGGATATTAGCCCTTTGTCAGATGAGTAGGTTGCGAAAATTTTCTCCCATTTTGTATGTTGCCTGTTCACTCTGACGGTAGTTTCTTTGGCTGTGCAGAAGCTCTTTAGTTTAATTAGATCCCATTTGTCAATTTTGTCTTTTGTTGCCATTGCTTTTGGTGTTTTAGACATGAAGTCCTTGCCCATGCCTATGTCCTGAATGGTAATGCCTAGGTTTTCTTCTAGGGTTTTTATGGTTTTAGGTCTAACATGTAAGTCTTTAATCCATCTTGAATTGATTTTTGTATAAGGTGTAAGGAAGGGATCCAGTTTCAGCTTTCTACATATGGCTAGCCAGTTTTCCCAGCACCATTTATTAAATAGGGAATCCTTTCCCCATTGCTTGTTTTTCTCAGGTTTGTCAAAGATCAGATAGTTGTAGATATGCGGCGTTATTTCTGAGGGCTCTGTTCTGTTCCAGTGATCTATATCTCTGTTTTGGTACCAGTACCATGCTGTTTTGGTTACTGTAGCCTTGTAGTATGGAGGGATCTAGAACTGGAAATACCATTTGACCCAGCCATCCCATTACTGGGTATATACCCAAAGGACTATAAATCATGCTGCTATAAAGACACATGCACACATATGTTTATTGCGGCATTATTCACAATAGCAAAGACTTGGAACCAACCCAAATGTCCAACAATGATAGACTGGATTAAGAAAATGTGGCACATATACACCATGGAATACTATGCAGCCATAAAAAATGATGAGTTCATGTCCTTTGTAGGGACATGGATGAAATTGGAAACCATCATTCTCAGTAAACTATTGCAAGAACAAAAAACCAAACACCGCATATTCTCACTCATAGGTGGGAATTGACCAATGAGATCACATGGACACAGGAAGGGGAACATCACACTCTGGGGACTGTTGTGGGGTGTGGGGAGGGGGGGAGGGATAGCATCGGGAGATATACCTAATGCTAGATGACGAGCTAGTGGGTGCAGCACACTAGCATGGCACATGTATACGTATGTAACTAACCTGCACAATGTGCACATGTACCCTAAAACTTAAAGTATAATAATAAATAAATAAATAAATAAAGAGAGGGAACCCGAAGGATGCAGATTCTGAAGGTCAGGACCTTCAAACTTTAGGAATGAGTAAATGTAGACTTTCATGCTAGAAGAAAAGCTGGCCAGGAAAGCTAGCTGAGATAGCTACTGACTAACTGAAAACACCCTCAAGCTTAGAAATGCTGCATCCTTTCAATTGTCATTTGAGCTTTCTTAGTTTCCTTTTTGTGATGTCTTTTTTTTTTTTTGCTCTGCTTTTAAACACTACTAATATTGCTAATTTTGTTTGATTTCTTTCTTCTTCCTTCAGGTTCCTTCCTTGAGCCATTTTCAGAACATTTGTTCATGACATTTTTCTTTACTGGCATTGTCTATGTATGAGCTTTGATCAAACCTACTTGAAACTCTCACCTCATTAGTTGTAGATTGTTTCACACACCATTTAGCTAAGGGTGTTGTCTAGTTACTGCTGAATCCTTACAGGTTGTGATTGTATTTTTAATTTTAAGAATCCCTATTTTATTTTCTAGTCTTTTTCTCTTTCAGGACATGTCTAAAGTAGTCAAAATATCCTATTGCTTAAATCATAAATTCAGTAAAATCCATCAAAACTTTAGTTCAACCTTTGAGAATGGAGATACAGATAATGTATTTCACTCAAATGCCAGAATAGGGCAGATGGTTTGGCATCTGAGGTCTTGACAAATCTATGGTGCTCATGACTGTTCTTGTTATGGAACCTTCTATTATTCTTACTGCTTATAGTGTAGACTAAAATTTGGTTTCCTGTCTGAATTACCCATTGTTTTGCTTATTGTCTTTGCCGTATACATGGACTTCCTGGTACTGTCTAACTCTCCCTAATTTCCTAATAATCGGAATTTGATAACCATTGGCTATCTCAGAGAAACGTCTCCAATATATAGTAGATTGCCCTTTACTCTGGCACACAGGTTTGGAGTGTCGTACTAAAGGACCACTGGAAAAAATATGGAAACAATATGAATTTGGATTGCCAATGTAAAAGAAGGTTTGGCAAATCACTACAGTATGAAATGAAATGAGCCACAGACTGGAAAGTTGACTAACAAGTAGGTCCAAACCTATGAGGGGCAACAAGCCTGGAAAAATTGCCAAAAACCAAATGCAAAGAGTGTGGCACCTGTTCCCCCATTTCTTGGGGCCAGTATTTTAAATGTTCTGTCTAAGCTGGCTGGTCATTCAACTTCAGCTTATTATATAATTGGTATATGCTTAATGGATTGTCCTATATTTTCTATATACTAATGGTTCAGCACATTTGGAAAACAACTTACTAGACTAGCCTCAAATTTTTTCAATAATTATTGCCAGTAATACTGTTTCCATTTCTTCTTAAACATAAATCATTTATTCAACAAATATTTCCCAAGGGTTTTCTATCTGCCAGAAAATCTACCAAGTACCAGGGACACATTTCTGAGTAAAATAAACATAGAATATTCTCTGCTGAATGTTATAGTCTTATGAATAAATATTATCATCAAAAATATTAAGAAAGCCATATGTGATAGATCTATATATATAAAATCCTAGCTCTGTCTATACAAGCCAAACAAATAGTTGTAATCATTATTAAAACTAAAATTTGACAGATTTATAAAATTAAATGATTGTTCAAGCAAAAATGTAACCAAAACTGGCCAATGATGACATGTGAATATACACATTCCACCCCTGCCCATTCGATCTTCAATTTAATCTCAAGCATCATTAAGTGTTAGTTGTGTCCAGAGCCTCTCAGTTGATTGGTGTACTCATGATTTGATTAGTAGAACTTTTAGTATTCAGTTAAGCTCTAGTGAAGGTGAGGTGAAATTATGGACATAGGACTTTTTTCTCTTCAAAAAAATAACCTGAAAATTAAAATCATTCACTGGATTAGGCTATATTCTAGAAGATTTCTGTTTTAGGCTTGAAAGTTAACTTTTACGTTAATAGAAAACATACAGAGAAACTCCATTTTAATGACCATGAGAAATATATTTACAGTCTAATTCAGTAAACTGGATGCTCATATGCTCTGCTTATTAATCCATTAAAAAGAAGGAATTATAAATCAAAGAACATTTTGCTATGTATTAAAGACAAAGTAGATTTTTAATTAGCTTAATAAATAGGGGGCTTGTGGCCAAAATTTTTGAGAAGTGCATAAAATCCTGGACTGTGAAAATTTGGAAATAGCCTATTACCACCATGTTATAGACTTATTTTATTTTGAGAGGTTGGGAATAAGGAAACTGGTTTTATATTCTAACTTTTACACTAGGCACTTATTCAGGCTTTGCTAAATTCTCCTTAGAGAAAGGACTCATAAAAGTCTAGATTAGACAGACTTTCTATATGCTCACATAATATCTAAAGTTTACTTTTACTATAGCCTTTACCAATCTGTGTGTTTATTGCCCCTTCATTTGCATTGCAAAGTCTTCATTAGCCAGGCATTGTGACATCAATTTTATCTTTGTGAGTTATCCTAATGTACTATCAAGATTGAATAAATATTATAATCCCCCTTTATGCATTTTCTTCCTGTATGCATTGGAATTTCTATTCATTTGATTTTTCACTTCATGCAAGTCTTTATTTATTTATTGGCCTGAATACTTTGGGCTGTCATTACATTCTGTACCTATTGGCCATCTATTTCAATATTCTTCTCCCTAAAACCCTAAACTTCCATACTGTATGCCAAAGCTAGAGTCAATTGCAATCCTAGGTTACTTACATTATTTACTTTCTCCTCTTGTTCCAGAGAAACAGGAAAAATTATGCAAATATATCTAGAACTCTGCTCTGCTTTATATCAAACAAGATACCGATTTAATTGCCATTGAACACCTTCACTTGGAATTCATTTATAGGCCCCTTGATATTACATCTAATGCTAAGTTAATTTCTATTCCTAAAAAATTACCTCCTTTTCCATCTGCATCTAGTTAATTACCGAATCTAGTTGATCAATTCATGTTCATTGAAGCCATATGACTCTTCTTCTCATCTTCAAGTCCAGTTGCTAACTAAATTATGATAGTTGTATATCTCAAACATCTTAATATCTGCCCCTCTTTTTACAATCATTTATTCCATCCAGATTATTATTATCTCTTGTTGGGTTGTTATACAAATATCCTAACTAGTCTTACTGTTTTTTGTCTATCCACAATAACCCAACTGTACTGGGTACTGATGAGTTTACCTTTCTAAAATACAAATTAGTTTCCTTCAATATTTTGCTCTATTTAAAAGCCACTGATAATAATTCACTGCTGATAGAATAACATTAAAGTTTATTAGTATATATCATCTTCCCTTTATAACCTGCCTCTACTTAATTTTCTAGCTACATTTGGCTTAGTCTAATATCTTCCCCTGTGTACATTTTAATTATATTGAAATCCCTACTGTTCCGTGAAGTTTCCACTCTTCTGTGAACCTGCATGCCACTTTGCCTTTTATCATGCTAACTCTTCTGATTTTCCCCTCAACTTTACCTGCCAGGACAATACCTATTTATTCTTAAAGCTCTAGCACGTGCTCCTCCTCCCACCAATTTTCCCTAATTTCCCCCGTTAGAATTAATTCCTTCTTTACTCATATTTTCATAACATTTACTTAAATTATAAAATACATAATATTCTATCACTTTTATTATCACATTTTTATTAAGGTAAAATTTGCATTCAGTAATCTGACCAGATCAATGTGTATATTCAGTGAGTTTTGACAAATGCACCCCTGTGAAACTGGCTCTCCACTCAAAATGTAAAATATTTTTATAACCCAGAAAGTTCCCTTGTGCCCTCTTCTAGTGAAATCTGATCTCATCTCATAGGGATAGATACACTTTTATTTCTCTTGCAGTAAGTTACTTTTTTCCCATATTGGGATTTTACACAAATGGAATAATAAAGTACTTTTTTCATTTTTTTCATTCAACATAATTTTTTTTGAGATAAATCTATGTGACTGCATGTATAAGTATTTTACTTGCCTATTTTCCTATTGATGAACATATGGATTGTTTCTAGTTTTTGGTCCTTATGAATAAATATGCTAGAACATTTTCTATAGGGCCATTTATGGACATACATTTTCATTTTTCTTGTGAAAATATGTAGGAGTGCAGTTGTTGGATCATAGGGGTGGTGAATTTATCAGTCACGGTTCAATCAGAGAAGCCAGACCATAGAAGTAATCTACAATAAAGTATTTTCTACAGGAATTTGACCCTACACAACTTTGAAAACTGAAAGTAGTTTCAGTGATGCTATAGCTCATACTTCATCTGATTTTGGGGCCTGAAGTCAGCAGGGCAGGAAGTTGGGAAGGGAAGATGAATAAGAAGTGAAGGTGGTATGAAAGGGATCAAGAACAAAAGAGAGCCTGCAAGTATAAGCAAAAACCGATGAGGGCAGACTGGAATCTAAGCTTCCACATTTGATGCTGGCGATGACCTGCCATAAACCCGGTGTCTTTCATTAGCAATTAACATACACCTGGTTCAAGAGTCAGATCATATAAAGGATCAGATCTATTGGATGAGATCAACTGGAGGAGCTACTGGCTTGGTTGCTCCACCAAAGCAACAAGTCAAACCATCAGATAAATGGCAGCATGTGTGTGCTGCTATAATGCCTGGTGCATCAACATCCTGAATATAAAAATAATATGGCTACTGCTTCATTAGTGCTTTCAAATCTTCCATAAAATGTTCTGTTTTTCCACACTAATCTGGTACTATGCAGAAAATTGATCAATATTCATTTTGGGATCAAATCTAAAGGATTGTACCTATGCATGTGTTTGTATGCATCTCATTTTATTTAAAAGGGAGACTTCCAAAACACATTTTTTTATAATGAAACATACATAAACATTTAAATGTAATTCACTACTTATTTATTTAGTAACTGTTTACCTGAGAAGTGAACGTTATTGTTCCAGATCATTGTCAACCTTTGGTATCAGTCTTTATAATTTTAGCCCTCCAAATTGCTGGAAGTACTAGCTATTTCACTGCAATCCTTTGATAGCTAAAGATGTTGAACACCTTTTAATAAGCTGCTGGTCATTCACATATCTTCTTTTGGGGTGTTGGTGTGTGTCAATGTGTTCAATTTGTAAACTGAATTGTTTCTCTTTGTATTATTGCTCTGTGATTATTTATATATTTGTCAGATACCTGTGTCAAGATGGTCAACTGGAAGTTCCTAAGAGTCTTCCCTCCAACAAATAAACACCAAACAATGCATCAACAACTACATTTTTACCAAAATAACTAAAGGAGAACATCAGGGAAGAGCAAAGAAGCAGCAGAAATCCCGTAGAGCTCAAAAACCCAGGATGGCTGCGTAGAGAAGGAAAGGAAACATCTCATCTTTGTCATACCATCCCCCAGTTGAGATCATCTCAGAGCCAGGAGAGACTTCTCGCTGTGGAGAAAAGATAATAAGAGGACCCAGCAACTATCATCAACACCAGAGACACCTGCAGTCCTCACTACTGAGACTCCTGCAGTCCTCACAACCTGTGAGCCCAGCTGAGGAAGCTCCTGGCATCCACACACTGAGCTACCCACAGAGAAGGAGCCAATGATGAGCCCCACTCCACTGTGGCCCATGCTGCTACTGCTCTACACCATCTTAGAACAGCATTGTGTCCTGTTTTGGGGGTGAGTAGCCATTGCATCCCTTCATCCCTGAGGCTCGGCCACCATTATGCCAATTCCAGCTGGTAGCACACCATCCTTGAGCAGAACTGTTTCGATGCCCTACCCACTAGGGCCAAACTACCACAGAGCTGCTCCACCCACCTCATCCAAATTGCTGGTGTACTTGCTCCTTAGGGCCAAGCTGAAATGGTACCCTGCCCCCTGGGAAGCCAAAGCTTTAAACTACCAGAGCAGTCCCTCTCCCAGCGACACAGCTGAAGTAGTGCTGTGCCTCCCAAGGACCTAAGGCCTACTGCACACCACAGCAGTTGCCCTGACACTTGCACCACAGGTAAGGAAGAACCCCAACACCAAAGGGCTCTGAGGCTCTGGCACATTGGAGTAGTTGCACCTCCCAGAACCACAACTGACACAGCACTCCACTACTCAGGAGCCAGAGACTCCACTGAATCATGTAGCCCCACTTCTGGAGCTGAGAAGATGCAGTGTCTTGTGTCCCAGGAAATCATAGCTTTGGCTGAGCTGTAGCACCCCATCCTCCAGGCCAAACATTCACGGAACTCTGCCTATCTGGAACTGAACTAGGCTTCTTCATTCTGAGATGCTGATCCACCCTGTCTCTCTAGGAAGTGAAGTTTGTGCTACACTTCTCCCTGACTCCCGGGGCCCAGAAGAATCTTACCATTCCTGGGCCCTTGCTCCTGCTGCATCTGATCTCACAAAGCCTGAACTACTGGCTTGTTCTACCATTCAGGGTCCAGAGTCACTATTGCGTGGCACCTCATCACCTGGAGCCTGAGCTGCCACTGTGCCGTATTGCTGTCAGGTCCTAAATTGCAGATGTGTCTTATTTCCATGGCCTGAGCCTCCAGAAGACCCCTTCTTCCCTGAAGCCATGCCAGTGCTGTGCTCTTTTCTCCACAGTCAGAACCACAGCTGCACCCCAACCCCTAGGGCCTGAGCTACTGGAATATGCATCAGAGCAACAGACCCCAAATAAGTGGGAGAGTTATCTCCAAGGCAATTCATGCCTTGGAGAGTGAACTCACACCTCAAGTCCCAGGTATTACAGTAGTTTTGCAAGATCCTGAGCCCAGGAACATGGTTTTGCAGCTGTTCTGAGCACCTGTGCCCTGGATCCTCCACTGTGGCTGCCTGTGATCCATGTAAGCCTCAACACCAGGAGAAATCCCATGAGCTAAAACTTTCCACTCTGAGAAAGACAAGAACAGGAGGAACCCTTAAGTTCTTGTCCTTATAACCTATGCAATCGCTGCCACAAACTCCTCCAGCCTAGAACACCAAGCCTCCACAGTTATTGCTAACATTGGTCACAAGTGAGTAAGTTGCATGAAGGCTTCACCACCATATCCACACAGAACAAGAGCCACTACATCCTGCCCAATCAGCAACCTCAAACCCATCTGTAAGTGGAATTCTTCTACTGAGATAGCTGCTGTGTAAAGTTTAGAAGAGGTGACTGCCCTACCAAATGCACAGACATCAATACATCAATACGGAGACACAAAAAGCATGAAGAAAAACAAGAAAACATGACACTACCTAAGAAATATAATGATTATCCAGTAAATGATCCCAAAGAAATAAAAATTTACAAGTTGCCTAAAAAGGAATTCAAAATAATAACCTTAAGGATAGTCAATGAGATATAAAAGAATGCAAATATGCAATTCAATGAAATCAGGAAAACAATATAGGATCTAAATGAGAAACTCAACAAAGATATTATTAAAAGAGAACAAAACAGAAATCTTGGAGCTGAATAATTCAATCAATGAAATAAAAATATACATTTGAGAACTTCAACAGTAGACTAGTTTGACCTGAATAAAGAATCTGTGAACTTGAGGATTGGTGTTATGAAATGAGTCAGGGAAGAAAAAAAGAAGGAAAAAAAGAGGGAAGACAGCCTAAGGAACTTATGGGACATCACTAAACAAACAAATATTTATATTATGAGAGGTCAAGAAGGCAGAAAGAGAAAGGGACAAAAAGCTTACTTTTATATTTTTATTTTTTTAATAGACAAATAATAATTGGACATATTCATGAAGTACATCTTGATGTTTCAAGAAATACAATGTACAGTGATCAGATCAGGGTAATCAGCATATCCATCATCTCAAAAATTTATCATTTCTTTGTGTTGGGAACATTCAATTTCCTCCTTCTAGCTATTTGAAACTATATTGTTTCAATACACTATATTCAAAACATAATAGTATTGTTGACTATAGTTATCCTATAGTGGTTTAGAACACTAGAATTTATTCCTCCTATCTATCTGTGATTTTGTATTCTTTAATCTCTTAATAAAATAATTGCTGAAAACTTTCCAAGACTTGGTAGAAGTACAGACATCAAGATTCATGAGGCTCAAAGTTCCAAACAGGTTCATCCCAAAGAGGTCCTCCCTGAGGTATATTATAATCAAATTGTCAACAGTCAAAGACAAATAGATAATTTTTTAAGCAGTAAAATGGCAAGGCTTAGAGACTGGAGGAAAAAAAACAGCAAGAGAAAACTGTCAAGTCACTTACTGACATTGATTGAGGATTGAGATACTATAGTCAAAGTGCTGCTTAAAAAAATGTCTGCCAAGAATACTATTACCAGCAAAGCCATTATTTAGAAATGAAAAAAAAAAAGTCTTTCAGAGGCAAGCAAAAGCTGAGGAAATTCATTACCACTAGGCCCTCCTTATAAGAAATGCCAAAAGGGTTCTTATAGCATAAACAAAAGGATGATAATTACTATCATGAATGCATATGAAGGTATAAAACTCACTGGTAGCAGTAAACGCATACTCAAATCCAGAATACTATAATACTATAATGAAGGTGTGTAAATCATACACATATCTAGCATGAGGGTTAAAAGTCAAAATGATCAAAAATGACTAAAGCTACAGTAAGTTATTAAGGAATACACATTATAAAAATACTTAAATTGTATCAAAAACATAAGTTGTGACTGGGGGGGAATAAGAGTCTAGAGTGTTTGTACATGACAGAAAAATTCTAATCTGCTTAAAATAGTAAAATATAACTATAAAATGCTTTATATATGTCTCATGATAACCACAAAACAAAAAAACTGCAGAAGATATGAAACTGATTTTTTTTTTAAAAAGGAACCAATGCCTAGCATTAGAGAAAATTATTAAATCACTAAAGGTAGGCAACAAGAGAAGAAGAAAGGAACAAAGGAGCTACAAAACAACCAGACAACAAATAACAAATGTCTAGTAAGTCAAACAAATAACTAGTAAGTCAATATGCAATATCAATAGCAAACTTAAATTTAAATTGATTAAATTATCCAGTCAAAAGACATAGAGTGGCTGAATGAATAAAAATTTAGATCCAGAGGGAGGAGCCAAGATGGCCGAATAGGAACAGCTCCGGTCTACAGCTCCCAGCATGAGCGCCACAGAAGACGGGTGATTTCTGCATTTCCATCTGAGGTACCAGGTTCATCTCACTAGGGAGAGCCAGACAGTGGGCGCAGGTCAGTGGGTGCCTGCACCGTGCACAAGCGGAAGTAGGGCGAGGCATTGCCTCACTTGGGAAGTGCAAGGGGTCAGGGAGTTCCCTTTCTGAGTCAAAGAAAGGGGTGATGGACGGCACCTGGAAAATCGGGTCATTCCCACCCGAATACTGCGCTTTTCCTACAGGCTTAAAAAATGGCGCACCAGGAGATTATATCCCGCACCTGGCTCGGAGGGTCCTACGCCCACGGAGTCTCACTGATTGCTAGCACAGCAGTCTGAGATCAAACTGCAAGGTGGCAGCGAGGCTGGGGGAGGGGCTCCCGCCATTGCCCAGGCTTGATTAGGTAAACAAAGCAGCCGGGAAGCTCGAACTGGGCGGAGCCCACCACAGCTCAAGGAGGCCTGCCTGCCTCTGTAGGCTCCACCTCTGGGGGCAGGGCACAGACAAACAAAAAGACAGCAGTAACCTCTGCAGACTTAAATGTCCCTGTCTGACAGCTTTGAAGAGAGCAGTGGTTCTCCCACCATGCAGCTGGAGATCTGAGAACGGGCAGACTGCCTCCTCAAGTGGGTCCCTGACCCCTGACCCCCGAGCAGCCTAACTGGGAGGCACCCCCAGCAGGGGCACACTGACACCTCACACGGCAGGGTATTCCAACAGACCTGCAGCTGAGGGTCCTGTCTGTTAGAAGGAAAACTAACAAACAGAAAGGACATCCACACCAAAACCCCATCTGTACATCACCATCATCAAAGACCAAAAGTAGATAAAACCACAAAGATGGGGAAAAAACAGAACAGAAAAACTGGAAACTCTAAAACGCAGAGTGCCTCTCCTCCTCCAAAGGAAAGCAGTTCCTCACCAGCAACGGAACAAAGCCAGATGGAGAATGACTTTGACGAGCTGAGAGAAGAAGGCTTCAGAGGATCAAATTACTCTGAGCTATGGGAGGACATTCAAACCAAAGGCAAAGAAGTTGAAAACTTTGAAAAAAATTTAGAAGAATGTATAACTAGAATAACCAATACAGAGAAGTGCTTAAAGGAGCTGATGGAGCTGAAAACCAAGGCTCAAGAACTACGTGAAGAATGCAGAAGCCTCAGGAGCCGATGCGATCAACTGGAAGAAAGGGTATCAGCAATGGAAGACGAAATGAATGAAATGAAGCGAGAAGGGAAGTTTAGAGAAAAAAGAATAAAAAGAAATGAGCAAAGCCTCCAAGAAATATGGGACTATGTGAAAAGACCAAATCTACGTCTGATTGGTGTACCTGAAAGTGATGGGGAGAATGGAACCAAGTTGGAAAACACTGTGCAGGATATTATCCAGGAGAACTTCCCCAATCTAGCAAGGCAGGCCAACGTTCAGATTCAGGAAATACAGAAAACGCCACAAAGATACTCCTCGAGAAGAGCAACTCCAAGACACAAAATTGTCAGATTCACCAAAGTTGAAATGAAGGAAAAAATGTTAAGGGCAGCCAGAGAGAAAGGTCGGGTTACCCTCAAAGGGAAGCCCATCAGACTAACAGCGGATCTCTTGGCAGAAATCCTACAAGCCAGAAGAGAGTGGGGGCCAATATTCAACATTCTTAAAGAAAAGAATTTTCAACCCAGAATTTCATATCCAGCCAAACTAAGCTTCATAAGTGAAGGAGAAATAAAATATTTTACAGACAAGCAAATGCTGAGAGATTTTGTCACCACCAGGCCTGCCCTAAAAGAGCTCCTGAAGGAAGCACTAAACATGGAAAGGAACAACCAGTACCAGCCGGTGCAAAATCATGCCAAAATGTAAAGACCATCCAGACTAGGAAGAAACTGCATCAGCTAACGAGCAAAATCACCAGCTAACATCATAATGACAGGAGCAAATTCACACATAACAATATTAACTTTAAATGTAAATGGACTAAATGATCCAATTAAAAGACACAGACTGACAAATTGGATAAAGAGTCAAGACCCATCAGTGTGCTGTATTCAGGAAACCCATCTCACGTGCAGAGACACACATAGGCTCAAAATAAAAGGATGGAGGAAGATCTACCAAGCCAATGGAAAACAAAAAAAGGCAGGGGTTGCAATGCTAGTCTCTGATAAAACAGACTTTAAACCAACAAAGATCAAAAGAGACAAAGAAAGCCATTACATAATGGTAAAGGGATCAATTCAACAAGAAGAGCTAACTATCCTAAATATATATGCACCCAATACAGGAGCACCAAGATTCATAAAGCAAGTCCTGAGTGACCTACAAAGAGACTTAGACTCCCACACATTAATAATGGGAGACTTTAACACCCCACTGTCAACATTAGACAGATCAACGAGACAGAAAGTCAACAAGGATACCCAGGAATTGAACTCAGCTCTGCACCAAGCGGACCTAATAGACATCTACAGAACTCTCCACCCCAAATCAACAGGATATACATTTTTTTCAGCACCATACCACACCTATTCCAAAATTGACCACATAGTTGGAAGTAAAGCTCTCCTCAGCAAATGTAAAAGAACAGAAATTATAACAAACTATCTCTCAGACCACAGTGCAATCAAACTAGAATTCAGGGTTAAGAATCTCACTCAAAACTGCTCAACTACATCGAAACTGAACAACCTCCTCCTGAATGACTACTGGGTACATAATGAAATGAAGGCAGAAATAAAGATGTTCTTTGAAACCAACGAGAACAAAGACACAACATACCAGAATCTCTGGGACGTATTCAAAGCAGTGAGTAGAGGGAAATTTATAGCACTAAATGCCCACAAGAGAAAGCAGGAAAGATCCAAAATTGACATCCTAACATCACAATTAAAAGAACTAGAAAAGCAAGAGCAAACACATTCAAAAGCTAGCAGAAGGCAAGAAATAACTAAAATCAGAGCAGAACTGAAGGAAATAGAGACACAAAAAAACCCTTCAAAAAATTAATGAATCCAAGAGCTGGTTTTTTGAAATGATCAACAAAATTGATTGAACGCTAGCAAGACTAATATAGAAAAAAAGAGAGAAGAATCAAATAGACGCAATAAAAAATGATAAAGGGGATATCACCACCGATCCCACAGAAATACAAACTACCATCAGAGAATACTACAAACACCTCTACACAAATAAACTAGAAAATCTAGAAGAAATGGATAAATTCCTCGACACATACACTCTCCCAAGACTAAACCAGGAAGAAGCTGAATCTCTGAATAGACCAATAACAGGAGCTGAAATTGTGGCAATAATCAATAGCTTACCAACCAAAAAGAGTCCAGGACCAGATGGATTCACAGCCGAATTCTACCAGAGGTACAAGGAGGAACTGGTACCATTCCTTCTGAAACTATTCCAATCAATAGAAAAAGAGGGAATCCTCCCTAACTCATTTTATGAGGCCAGCATCATTCTGATACCAAAGCCAGGCAGAGACACAACAAAAAAAGAGAATTTTAGACCAATATCCTTGATGAACATTGATGCAAAAATCCTCAATAAAATACTGGCAAAACGAATCCAGCAGCACATCAAAAAGCTTATCCACCATGATCAAGTGGGCTTCATCCCTGGGATGCAAGGCTGGTTCAATATATGCAAATCAATAAATGTAATCCAGCATATAAACAGAGCCAAAGACAAAAACCACATGATTATCTCAAAAGATGCAGAAAAAGCCTTTGACGAAATTCAACAATGCTTCACGCTAAAAACTCTCAATAAATTAGGTATTGATGGGACATATTTCAAAATAATAAGAGCTATCTATGACAAACCCACAGCCAATATCATACTGAATGGGCAAAAAAGTGGAAGCATTCCCTTTGAAAACTGGCACAAGACAGGGATGCCCTCTCTCACCACTCCTATTCAACATAGTGTTGGAAGTTCTGGCCAGGGCAATTAGGCAGGAGAAGGAAATAAAGGGTATTCAATTAGGAAAAGAGGAAGTCAAATTGTCCCTGTTTGCAGACGACATGATTGTATATCTAGAAAACCCCATTGTCTCAGCCCAAAATCTCCTTAAGCTGATAAGCAACTTCAGCAAAGTCTTAGGATACAAAATCAATGTACAAAAATCACAAGCATTCTTATACACCAACAACAGACAAACAGAGAGCCAAATCATTAGTGAACTCCCATTCACAATTGCTTCAAAGAGAATAAAATACTTAGGAATCCAACTTACAAGGGATGTGAAGGACCTCTTCAAGGAGAACTACAAACCACTGCTCAACAAAATAAAAGAGGATACAAACAAATGGAAGAACATTCCATGCTCATGGGTAGGAAGAATCAATATCATGAAAATGGCCATACTGCCCAAGGTAATTTACAGATTCAATGCCATCCCCATCAAGCTACCAATGACTTTCTTCACAGAATTGGAAAAAACTACTTTAAAGTTCATATGGAACCAAAAAAGAGCCCGTGTCACCAAGTCAATCCTAAGCCAAAAGAACAAAGCTGGAGGCCTCACACTACCTGACTTCAAACTATACTACAAGGCTACAGTAACCAAAACAGCATGGTACTGGTACCAAAACAGAGATATAGATCAATGGAACAGAACAGAGCCCTCAGAAATGACGCCGCATATCTACAACTATCTGATCTTTGACAAACCTGAGAAAAACAAGCAATGGGGAAAGGATTCCCTATTTAATAAATGGTGCTGGGAAAACTGGCTAGCCATATGTAGAAAGCTGAAACTGGATCCCTTCCTTACACCTTATACAAAAATCAATTCAAGATGGATTAAAGACTTTAACATTAGACCTAAAACCATAAAAACCCTAGAAGAAAACCTAGGCATTACCATTCAGGACATAGGCATGGTCAAGGACTTCATGTCTAAAACTCCAAAAGCAATGGCGACAAAAGACAAAATTGACAAATGGGATCTAATTAAACTAAAGAGCTTCTGCACAGCAAAAGAAACTACCGTCAGAGTGAACAGGAAACCTACAAAATGGGAGAAAATTTTTGCAACCTACTCATCTGACAAAGGGCTAATATCCAGAATCTACAGTGAACTCAAACAAATTTACAAGAAAAAAACAAACAACCCCATCAAAAAGTGGGCGAAGGACATGAACAGACATTTCTCAAAAGAAGACATTTATGGGCCGGGCGCGGTGGCTCACGCCTGTAATCCCAGCACTTTGGGAGGCCGAGGCGGGCGGATCACGAGGTCAGGAGATCGAGACCATCCCGGCTAAAACGGTGAAACCCCGTCTCTACTAAAACTACAAAAAATAGCCGGGCGTAGTGGCGGGCGCCTGTAGTCCTAGCTACTTGGGAGGCTGAGGCAGGAGAATGGCGTGAACCCGGGAGGCGGAGCTTGCAGTGAGCCGAGATCCCGCCACTGCACTCCAGCCTGGGTGACAGAGCGAGACTCCATCTCAAAAAAAAAAAAAAAAAAAAAAAAAAAAAGAAGACATTTATGCAGCCAAAAAACACATGAAAAAATGCTCATCATCAGAGAAAGGCAAATCAAAACCACAATGAGATACCATCTCACACCAGTTAGAATGGCAATCATTAAAAAGTCAGGAAACAACAGGTGCTGGAGAGGATGTGGAGAAATAGGAACACTTTTACACTGTTGGTGGGACTGTAAACTAGTTCAACCATTGTGGAAGTCAGTGTGGCGATTCCTCAGGGATCTAGAACTGGAAATACCATTTGACCCAGCCATCCCATGACTGGGTATATACCCAAAGGACTATAAATCATGCTGCTATAAAGACACATGCACACGTATGTTTATTGCGGCATTATTCGCAATAGCAAAGACTTGGAACCAACCCAAATGTCCAACAATGACAGACTGGATTAAGAAAATGTGGCACATATACACCATGGAATACTATGCAGCCATAAAAAATGATGAGTTCATGTCCTTTGTAGGGACATGAATGAAATTGGAAATCATCATTCTCAGTAAACTATCGCAAGAACAAAAAACCAAACACTGCATATTCTCACGCATAGGTGGGAATTGACCAATGAGATCACATGGACATAGGAAGGGGAATATCACACTCTGGGGACTGTTGTGGGGTGGGGGGAAGGGGAGGGATAGCATTGGGAGATATACCTAATGCTAGATGACGAGTTAGTGGGTGCAGCACACCAGCATGGCACATGTATGCATATGTAACTAACCTGCACAATGTGCACATGTACCCTAAAACTTAAAGTATAATAAAAAAAAAATTTAGATCCAACTACATGCTGCCTACAAAAGACCCACTTAACCATTAAAGACACACAGAGGCTGAAAGTGAAAGGATGGAAGAAGATATTCCATGCACATGGTAACCAAAAGAGAGAAGGGGTGGCTATACTTACATCTGATAAAATAGACTTCAAGCCAAAAACTCTCACAAAAGACAAAAATGGTAATTATTTAATGATACAGGAATCGGTTCATCCAAAGGACATAACCATTGTGAAATTATATACATCCAACTCTGGAACACATAAATACATAAAGCAAATATTAATTGACATAAATAGAAAAAGAGATAGCAATGTAACAATAGTAGAAAACCAATACTCCACTTTCAACAATGGATGGATATACGGGGCATGTATTTCAGAAGCTACAAAGTAACAGTTATGTGGTATAAACAAGTCTAGAGATCTAATGTACAATATGAGAAGTATATGTGAAAAATGGTATATACAGGATTCAAGCTAAATGGAGGGATTTTATCTGCTCTTGCCATAAAACACACAAAAAGTGGGTATGTGAGGTGATGAATATGTTAATTTGTTTCACTATAGTAATTTTTTGCTATCTATATGTATCCAATAACTTGGTGTATACCTGACATACACACAATAAAATTTATTTTTTAAAAAATATTGATAAGTAAACAAATAAATGTCCTTATGCCCTTACAGTTTCTGAGAGGACTGGTACTTGTCTCTATATTAATTACAATTATAGATTATTTATTATGTCTGTTCATTGTAACTATCTCTTTAAATTAATTGCAACTATTAATATTATGTTCAGTGTTATATTTCTAGTGCCAAGCACAATGTGTGGCACAGATTAGGTGCTAATGAATATTTATAAATGAATAAATAAATGAATACATAATTACATTTAGGAAAATAATTTAGGAAAGAAATTACAGAATGTTTTAATGTGGATAATAAAAATAAAACTTGTAAAACTTCCTTTTAAACTCTATCTTTAGTATACTGATAATTTTGCCATCCTGTTCCTAGCAAGTTAGAGAAGATGATGCTATTTCTCTAAACTGGGCATTTCTGTCTAATGCATATATTGTATTCTGAGTAACACAGTCCTGCAGGCAGAAAGATAGTAATAGAAATGGAAATCCTGCCTCTTGAATAATAGGCTTATTTTTTTTAGGAACAACAAATCCAGATGATTGATAGTCTGCACTTCATCTGTAATGATCTATCCAATGTTAGACAATCTTTCTGCAGATTGGTACAGAATACTGGGCATGTTTTTAGATTTGTTTGTCATTCAGTTCAAAGAGCTAGACTGTGAAGACAGCTGTCACACATTATTCCTAGTAATATCTTTTTAAATTCACATATTAGGTTTTAAAATAATGAATTTACTTTTATTTTAGTGTTGATACTGCTGCAGAAACTGATTGGTATAAATACAAATCATTTTTTCCTAAAATAATGAATTATCATTGTCTCCACTGCTCTCCAGGATCACCTATATTCTTCCTACCACTGCTACTAAATATTTGGTTGTACCTCAGAGTACAATAATGAGAAAACATGAATTTTACTAAGAGAATTTCTCAAACATCCTTTTTGCCGAAGTCTGCCATTTCCCATAAAAGAACAACCTTTGATCTAACAGCTCAGAATTATCTTGTAAAATTCAAAAACAGATCTCACCATATTCTGCTAATGTACTTAAATGTCACTGCAAAGCCCTATGGGATCTGGTAAATACTACATTATATAATCTTTAAATCTGTATGCTCCTAGCAAGGCTATTTCACCAGTCTCAACATTCCCTCTCTGCAAAATGGGAGGAGGGCACAGAGTACCCCATGTTCCTGATGTGATCAGTTTTGGTTACTGCCAACTATACTCACTGACTTACACTACAGACTACCTGAGAACTGTTTAAAGAAGTAAACTAAAATATAAATTTCTCAAGAGAATAACTTCATCATGCCCTCCATTTCCATTTACTTCAGCATCTCTCCTCTCCCAGACTCTTTTTTCCATGTGGCTCTGCATATTCTACAAATGATCCCTTATTTTTGCTATAATTGGAAGCTAGCTTTCGCTAATCTGGCAGTGGCATTCCACAGATTCCTAAAGATATGGTAGGTTCACCTTGACTCATTGCTCCTTCCAGATTCTTTTCCTTTGTCTTCCATAAAATGTCTAATAGATTTTCATGTTATTGTGCCTCCAGTTATCTCCACTCCTGATAGCCACGTCCTCTCATTAACTGATGATAATAGCACCTGATTCAAGAATTTTTTTAACCATTATTCTCATTCTCAACTTACTAATTTCAATTCCATGTATCACTATAAATTCAATATCTGACTTGGTATTTTCTTGACCTGCTCACTTCTAGTGATTCTTTCCCCTTCACTTACCTCAGCCATGTATTCTAATGTATTCCAGGTCTTGTAGTATGCAATAAGGACAACCCATAAACAATTTTAATTTCAAATATTCTTGTTTTTGCTGACGAATTCCATCTTTCCATCTTACTTTTTCTAGCACCCCAATTCCAATTGCTTTCTAATACAACTCAGAACTTCAATGTATTGACCTTATTAGCTTTTTACTTCATCCATGTTGTGTCCTCATTTCTTTTCTTACACAGAATCAGATCCATGATTAACTATTATAATCACTCTTTTGCATGCACATATAATTCTTTTTCTTCTTTCTCCCTTCCTCTGGGCAAAACTCCAAAGCTGGTTAAATCAAACTCAATGCTTACTACAGATGCACAACAGAGTAAAAGATACAGCTGGAGAAAATATAGCCAAGCTGACTTGTCCTGTTTCAGATTCTAACTCACCAAACTGAGGTGAACCCCCAATGCTACCCAATACTTCCATGACATTCTCATAATCAGTTTGTACTCCTCATTTCCTAAGAATATTGCTTTATATCTCATCCACTCTGTTTAAATATTGTATCCCACCAGTATTCTCACTCTCAAATAACAACCTAGCTTATTAATTCAACAAGATTATTGAAGTAATCTTAAAAGAACATTTACATCTTGCTGCAGGTAATCTTGTTTATACTGGTATATCTTGCCTTTTCTTGTACTAAAAGAAATATACTATCTCTTCCCATCCCTCAGCCAAAGTCGCACTATTCGTGCACCGAATTCTACCCCTCATCATTTACCTCAGATATTTTTTCTTCACTTATTCCCCCATTAATTGGGTCGTCAGTTTTTCTCACTCTACTGGATCATTTCCGTCACAATGAAAACATACTATATGTTATGGTTTGAATGTCTGCGTCCTCCATAAATTCATATATTAAAGCCTACTCCCAATGTGATGATATTAATTAAGAGATGGTAAGAGACTGGCAGGACTTGCTTTCTGGTCACAACCCTGCTGACAAAAACAGAATCTGATCCAGACAAAAGAAAGCAAAGAGACCTGCAAGGACATGGTGACAAAAGCAATCTCTAGCTCCCTTCATTCCTCATTAGCATAAGACACTCTCATCATGCCAGGACAGTTTACAAAAGCTGTGGCAACCACCTGGAAGTTGCCACCCATTCCCATGGCAGCAACCTGGAATTTATTGCACCTTTCCTAGAAAGTCCTAAATAACCCAACCCTCAATTTGCATTGACTCGTCCCTTAATTTGCATATAATTGAAAGTGGGTTCACATGTGTATAAATACAGTTGCCAAGCTCCCATACATTGCTGACTCCAGGTGCACTCCCTATGAGTTAGCCCTGGTCCACAAGGAGCAGTACTGTTCAATAAAAGATTGCTGTCTAACACCACCAGCTCCCTCTTAAATTCTCTCCTGGACAAAGCTGAAAACTCTCCCAGGCTAAGTCCCAATTTGGGGACTCACTTGTCCTGCATTAATGGGGCCTTTGGGAGGTGATTATGTCGTGAAGGTTAATTCCTAATGAATGAGCTTAGTCCCTTATAAAGAGACTTGAGGGAGCTTGTTTGTGCCCTTCCACCATGTGAAGACACAGTGAGAAGGCATCATCTATGAAACAAAAACAGGCCACAGATACCCAATCTGCCAGCATCTTGACTGTGGACTTCCAAGCCTCCCAAACTATGAGAAATAAATTTCTGTTATTTCTAATCTACCCAGTTTGGGGTATTTTCAGTATTTTCCTATAGCAGCCTGAATAGAATAAGGCAGTATAAATTTTCCATTCTGAAACAAGTGTAACAATTGCAACCCATGAACATCTTTTTCCTAGTCTTCTTGGCAAAACTCCAAAGCTCGTTAAATCAAACTGTTCCCCTTCACAGTAGCACTTCTAGACAGAGTAGTGCATATTGACTATTTCCAATTGCTTACCTTCTAATCTGTATTGAACCATTCCAATCTGGCTTTATTTTTCATTACTCTACCAAAATAATCCTTATCAAGGTCACTGGTGATCTTTTGGACAGATTCAATGGGCAATTATTAGTTTCCATCTTACTTGACCTTTGTGCAGTATTTGAAGCTCTTGATTTCAACTTTCTTCTTTAAACATTTTTTTACACCACATTCTCTGGATATTTTTCTGACTCAGTGGCCACTCCTTCCCAGTGTCTTTTGCTAGAAATTCCTCACATTTAAAGTTCTTACATTTTAGAGTAGAGTAGTCCCTGTCTTAGGCGTGGGGGCTCTTCTCTTCTGTATAGCCACTCACTCCCTAAGGTATCCTATCCATTGGTTTGGCTTTAAATTATCTTTGTGCTACACAATTCCAATAAGGCTTTTTAGTCTTAATCCCTCTCATCACTATTATAATCAAATGACTTCTCAATATCTCGATGTAGATGTCTAACAGGTGTCTAAATTTGAGATATCTAGATAATAAACAATCTAAAATTAGTTTTAAATTGTTTATTCTGCCTCTAAATCTCCTCCTTCCTCAATCTTTGTTATTGGACACCCAGTTTCTTCAAACCCAAAAGGTGAAGTCACTCTGGATCATACAATTTCTCTGACATCCCACATATAACATATTAGGCAATTCTGTGAGTTCTGTCTTTAAACTACCTACCACCTCCATGTTTTTCTCATTGACAGGGTCTTTGGAAGGAAAGCAAACAAATAGAAACACTAGCATAAAATGTAAATTTTAGGCCCATGCCACACGCAAGTACGATTTCCAAATATCCATTTCTCTTCACTGTGAAAGTAAGACAAGTGAGCCAAATTGATGTCATTTCAACTATAGTATTATGTTAAATAAAACTAAACAAAAATAATAGTAAAATTATAATTTTTTATCATTGTGAATGATTTTCCAAAATCTATCAACCTATTGTCATATCTGTCCAATTGCCATTTCTAGTCAGTTGGTAAAAGAGAAACCAAGTCAGAACTAAACATTTTGTTATAAGTTCTATTTACTTGCTGTAATCTTCAAAGACTTGTAGAAACTTCTTAGTAAACTAGATGCTGTCATCATGGTTTACTTTAAATGTATAGCTGAGGTCTCACTTTCTAAAAAAATTATGGGAAAGCAGTGTTATAGAACATGGTGCAGAATAGATTTCTGAGTTCATAAAAGCAATTCTGTCACAGAAAAACTGCATAATTGCAGTGTTCTATTGGGATGAATCTTAATGCTTCAGGTAAACAATCTTTCTGTTTATTTATGGCAAAGTCTGTTGTCAAGGTAACAACTATACAGAACTATCATGTCCATATGGTGCCACCAAATCTTCCACTTTTAGCAGATTCTTTTCTATCTAGCCTAATAGTAATCAGTGGTCTCAAACAAAGTTTCTGTTTCAATTGATTGCTCAGCAATTGACTATTTACTATGTGTGACTTTGTTTCCCAGAGCATTGAATTCAGTTCCATTTAAAGCCTTAGGTTGAATAGATAATTTTTATGGAAAATACCTAGATATTATTGTGGCAGAGAGAATTTAGAAATAAATGCCTTAATAATGGCAATCTTAAAATATTTACTCAATTAAAGGGATCCTAAAAACTCTATACCTCAGTGTGTGTTCAGATGGTGAAGGGTGGGAGGAGGGAGAGGATTAGGAAAAATAGCTACTAGGCTTAATATCTGGGTGATGAAATAATCTGTGCAACAAACTCCTATGACATAAGTTTACCTGTATAACAAACCTGCACATGTACTCCTGAACTTAAAAGTTAAATAAATAAATAAATAAATAAATAAATAAATAAAATCTCTATACCTGAAAATCAGTTTTGCTGATCTCAATTCTTTGAGAAAATGGTTGCTCTTGTCTATAAGCCAAATACTTGGTTTAATTCTACTTTTCTATTTTCACCATTTGCTGCTCTATCTACTTTTTGAAAGCCTAATAGTTGCAAAGGGCAATTTTCCCTTCTCAAAGTTGGAAAATCTTTACAAGTAGCCATACAATGCAGCCTTCATGAAATTCTTTGGCACCATACTGACACAGGATTACAAAGTTTTATTCCATTATGGACAAACTAATTAATTAGAAGAAGATAACAAAGAAAAATAAGGAGGTTTATTAATCAATGATCCTGAGTAATCACTGGCATGAGAGATCTGGACTTGCTTCCAAATCCATTATTTTCTAGTCCTTGGGACAAACATTCATTGAAAGCTTTGTGTCATACCAAAAGACTTAACAAAATGTTTAAGAAATGTCATAATATATACTTCTTTATAACGAATAAACATATAAGACAAGTTAAAAGTTAAATTTAACATTTTAAAAGACATGATTTGTATAGGCTGCTTTTACTTAGCTTAGGTAAGAACACTGCACTGTAGGGTAGGCTTTGACTAACCTTATTCCACATATTGATCAATAAACAGTTGTAGACAGGGGATATCTGAAAGTAATGCATATGTCTGAATCACCGATGTTAACCTATGCAACTGCATGGTTAGGTGCCTAAGGGATCACCAGGCACAGCTGCCCACAAGTTGGCAGCCGGTTTACACTAGCATCTATAAACAAACAACTATGATCACATATAATCTAGTGGGGCTGGTGCCATCACCCACGTCATTTCAAATAGTTATGAGTATAAAGGATACTTAAAGATTAGAAATGGAAAATCCCAACTGCTTTCTATTGGTTATAGTCATAGCTACCATTAATACTAGTATGTGCTGTTGTCCACCTTCTTAATTGAAGGAAATGCTAAATTTTGGTAGAGGTTTATAAAAATAAAAATGTCAGTCATTCCCCATATAAAAGCACACACTTGAATGTTATCCATGAACTTCAGGTTAAGAATTCCTGAGTTATGGGGTTCAATAAATCAATAAAAATATATCTAAACTGGGGAAATGTTGTATTTCAGGAGGAGTACAGTCAACAGTGTTTATTTGGAAGCTGCTAAATGAATGTTGTCAATGCAACCGTGAACAGAGTGGAGGGGTAGAAGACAATGTCTTTGTCAGTAAAGAGTTTGCAATTCAGTACAGAAGTGGCACACCTAACATTGCAGAATATTTTTAAGTGATTAAGGTCAGTTTTAGAATTTGGTGGGGCAGATTTCCAAAGGCTGTGCAATGTCTAAGCCTAAATAGGGCAAATGGTCAGTTGCTACTGTCTTGTAAGTAGCATAATTTGTTAATGCCATGGAATGAATGTAGATATTTTTTTCAGATCTGCCGGTGATATAGATACTCGTAAGTGCTACTGATGCTTACTTAGTCCTATAATTGGTGTTACAAATACAAGAAATGTTCCTTGAAAAGTAAATTTTGATAATTCCAAGCTAATCAGTAACTCTTATAAGAAGGAGTTACATAGAAATGTCACTCATATTTGAAGATATAAACAGGTTTACTTCCTATGTATTTGATTGTAGCTAGAACATATTTAATTCACATTTGCACATTTCTTCCAAGTAGGCTGCTTTTTGTACTTAGCTAGATCTAGGAAAGCCAATGCTGGCTCAGCCTTTTCTACCCACTGAGTATGACATTTGAGCCTTAATTTGGATTCATACTGACAAGGCTATATTCATTGTCACACAACACCAGCAACACAACACCTCTTCCTCCTCTTTACCCCCCAAAAAACTATTATCATGAACAAATTTAAAACATTTTCCAAAGATGTCTAATTTATACTCAGGTTGTAGCTCAGACAAAGCCTTGAGGAATGTAATTCAGTGATTTAGAGTGACAGTCTGGATGAGAAACAGCTACAGAACAGTGTGATTCTGTAATGAAATAAAGTAACTCATTATTGGTACTAAATTCAGAATCACCAGTAAACATTCATCAGGCCCCTACAATGTGTCTGCTGTTGTGTCTGCCATTACAAGTTTGGTCACCAAACCTCCAAGGCCAGAAAGGCACAGCAATGTGAGCTGTGCGCAGTTAGGAGAAAGGGCCTTCAACATTATTCGGGGAGTTAGCCTGCATTATCTGAAACATATTACAACAGAAAGGAGAAATTAAAGCAGTTGATTCCACAAAAAAGCACGGGACTATACCAAATAGAAAGTTAGAAATACAAGCCTAGTTGATGTGAAGAGAAGCTGGGAAAGCAAAGCTGCAGGCAGCAGATTCTGGTTTCTTTATTTATCACTTGTGCAACTTAGGTGTTCCTGCTAGGTACTAAACTTCTAACTGAGCCCAAAATGAATTGCTGTTTCTGGAGCCTGTAGGCCTGTGACCTTGTAGGCATTAATTTGCATGTGATGTTCTGCTTGGATGCCTTTGTTTTTGTGGGTTAGTAAGAGATTTGCTTTGGTGCTAGAACACCAGCCAGTTAGGCCAACAGAGAAAATGGAAAGGCTATTACAGCCACAGTCTCATTCTTGACTTGGTGATGGGGGCTTGATGGGGAGAGGGTAGCACCATAAAAATGAACTGTGTTCATAAATGACTTCATTTGACTATGGGAACAAGTGTTAAAACTTCCATGTTTCAAAGCACATCAAATACTTAAGAAGAGAGGCATCCACTCCTCCCCTTCTCTGCATTGCACATCATGCTATAGGGAAGCTTAGTAGTCATGAGTGTAGTGTCCAGAGTAGAAGCAAGAATAGTGTTTCCATTAGGTGTATAAGAATCTTCAACAGAAACTACACATAACTCTGAAACAGAGGCCAGCCAACATTAGTCATTGTCAAGCTGGCAGGAGCAGAAAAACATTAGTAATCATGTTCTTGTTCACATCAACATATGTTTAGGTCCTACAAACATAGAAACTAATAAATAAAACTGAAATAGCTATTTGTGTAATTCACTGTGGTTTAAGCAATACTACTTTGAAATTCCTCCAACATAACATAAGACATAAAAAGAGGGCTCATTTTCTCTAGTTCTATTATAGACTACCCATCAGCTTTAGTATCCTAAGGGCTCAGAGATCCCATATGTGGAATAGGAGAAGGGATAGGATAGAGGACCTGATGGCACAGGCTACAAGCAAAGAAATACTGTGCTTGATGGAGCAAACAGAGAGACTGAGACATCTTGAAGGTCATTTCTGATGACTGATAGCTCCTTTTGCAGCACAGCTACTACTGTATGGAAACATGAGTAAACACCTCCTCAGGACTCAGATATTCCAGGTAGTAAGGAGTAGAGTGGGGACGTGATACTCGCAGGGAGCTAGAGAGCCTGTTGCTGTGCTGGTCAAAGCTACAAAGCCAGCCAGCAAAATTTGAAATTTATGTTAACTTATAATATCCTTTGTAATCATAGTCCAGTAGGAAGTGGTGACCCTTGGATTACACCTATGATATACCTCAATGGAAGTTAAAACAACATCAAATAAAAATTCAGTTTCAAAATTCTGTAAATCATCTAAAGTGTGTAGCTCAGCATTTTGGCTTATTGATGGCATAATTTGGTGCAAGGATGAAATGTTAAATGCCTAAAACAATGAACTGCTCCTCTTTAAGGTAATTTTTACGAAACTTAATTGTAGATCATCTAAGCTAACAACTCAGATCATATGCATTTGCTATGGCAAACAGTTGAAGTCTGGATTGAAAGCTTATGAAAATAAGATGCTCTAATCAGCATACATGCCTGAGTAGAAGGCCATCCCACTAACGGTTCCAGATAAGACAAGTCTGTGTGTACGGGCAGGGCCAATATTTTCTGCAACTGTAACTCTGAAGCTATTCAAATATTGGACTAAGTGGTGATCAAAACCTCAATGTTTGGGCTTATACAGTATTACATGAACATTTTAGCCTTGAAATGTCAAAAGTGTTTTAAACACCAATCACAATCATTAAAAATTTGGTTGCAAAATTTCAAGTAGTGAAGCAGTCCAAAAAGAACAGGTTTCAAAATATATCTCTAAGTGTCTAAATTATTTTAGCTACTCTCTAGATTCCATAAATGTATACCAATTAAATGTTAGACAATAGCTGCCAAAAATGATCATTTGGATTTAAAAATTATCCTTTCTGACAATAATTAGCTAGCAGAGCAGTTTTTTGTTGAAACACTTCTACATTTGATTATAAAACCATGTCATCAGCATACTCTTTTTTACTCCTCTGTAGACAGAGATGATAGAATATAACAATATTCTATCCAGTGAATCCAATTTAATCAATCATGATGGGGTATGCGTGTTATGATATAATTGTATAGTACAAATAAAATCCCATTTTGGGATTTCTCATATATTTCAATTGAAGTAAACTCAATAAAGCCTTTCCAATTAAATTGGTATATCTGTTGGGAAATAAAGGGTCCAAAAGAACATGACTAATTTTTCAGTCACTCTCAACAGAGTTTCATCAAACTCACCAAAAGATCCTGCTTGCATGATTGAGAAATGTAGAATAAGTACAAACTTTTAAAAAATCAAAATATATAAAAACAGATCACAAACACTCCCAGAGAGTGATGAAAATACAGAGGCAGATCTTACACAGTTTATCAGGAAACAAAACAAGACCTTGAAGAACATGTTCCCTTTATAGGTGACAAATGACTATTTGGGTGAGTCTGATAGACAGTAGAGTGGCCATTCTTCCTTTGTCAAGATTTACTTTTCATTTCTAGCTGGAGAAATGAATAGGTTTAAAACTCAAGCATGATTTTTAAAGAGCTGCCGGGTGCGGTGTCTCACGCCTATAATCCCAGCACTTTGGGAGGCCGAGGCGGGCGAATCACGAGGTCAGGAGACCTGCCTGGCCAACATGGTGAAACCCCGTCTCTACTAAAAATACAAAAAATTAGCTGTGTGTGGTGGCAGGTGCCTCTAATCCCAGCTACTCAGGAGGCTGAGGCAGGAGAATCGCTTGAACCCAGGAGGCGAAGGTTGCAGTGAGCCTCCAGCCTGGATGACAGTGCAAGACTCTGTCTCAAAAACAAACAAACAACAACAAAAAAAAACAAAAAACAAAAATCACATGAGGAATGAGTGGTCAATTAATATTAAAACTTAGTAGAAAAGCTAATTTAGCAGAATGTTTTCCCTTTTGGACTCTATCCAGAAGTGTTCCAGATGAGGAATCACAGTAATTGGAGGGACAGTCCAGTGAATCTACTAAATCTGAAAGAATCCAAACATTGGCACTTTCACATGAGTTGGCATCAGCTAAAATGCAGCAGCTGTTTGAGAAGTTTGAACTGAAATTATCAAGTTGGCATCATCTCATCTATGCTGTGACATAGTCAAGCCAGTTCCTAAAGCACAGTAGCTGGAACAGTTTCTAAGTCAAGTCACCTTATTCGCACTAGAAACTGTGTACTCCACTTTTCCCATCATTTAACTGTGTATTAAGAATCTTAATACTGCTTGGTTTCCTAGAGAAACAATCCAACAGTGCTGGGCAGACGTTTCTCTCATATTCCTTTTCTTAATTGTAGCACAATATAAGGTTGGTCCAATATTCCAGTATTATGCATGTAATTGTGCACAGGTTTAGAAACCTATAACTGTTCATATGAACATTAAATGTTGTGAAATATTAAGACAACATTATTTCAGTAAATTAACCATGCCATCTACAAGGAGAGAAAAACTTGCTCTGATAAGGAGTAAACATCAAATTTCCTGACTAGTGTACTGTATTAAAAAAAATTAACCTTGGAAATTAAATAAATGAAATTGAACTTTTTATAGATCATCAAGACAGTAAAATGTTGACAATTTTATACAGTTTAAGCTGGTATATCGTTTTCTTGAATGGAGAAATTCAGCACTTAAAGAAGTTATTTTCCTCAAAATAATCCATAATTTAATGTCTTCCCAAACATGTTTTTTGACTAACATGATTGTGAGTCCCTTGGTTTTTCTTTTTGTCCTATATGTGCCACGCTTGAAGCTGAAGGAGCTGGCAACTTGGAAATATCAACAGACGCAGACAAAAATCAGCCCCCACTAAAGCCTTCTCTCTCTAATTAAAGGATCAGGAAAGGGAGACCCTCGAATGGCAAAAAAAATTACAGACAATAGCCATTCTACTCAGGCAAAATCCCAAAGATAAGGCTATAGTTTTGCCCCCATCTGTGTTAGCAAGGAGAAGTGGGGACCCAACCTTTCTACTGGGGTAGTGTCAAAGAAGGTGAGTAGGGACCTAGACTTCCATTTCACCAGGTGGTATAAAATCCCACCTCTAGGGCCAGTGGGGACCCTATCAGGGGTCTAAACTTCCACCTGCATCCAGCAGTAAGGAGGAATTCTTTCCACTCTTCACATGGATGGTATTCACAATGACCTAGTAGAAAATCAGGACTTTCATCATCACCCAGAAGTAGTGGGGGCATCCCTCACCCCCATGTGAGGAGCACAAATGAGGCACTCCTATCCCTTTCACCCAAGGAGATATTAGTGGAGGCTTCATGAGGACCCTGGGCTTCTAATCCCATCTGGCAGTAACAAGGCAGCAGCTCCCCTATGTCTATCAATAACATGGAATTTGTTATCAAAAGACCTCTTCAAAACAAAACCCAAGACCTAGCTAGCTTGACTTGCAAATTCCATCAACTAATTAAGGAATAAATATAGTAGCCCTCCCTTATCTGCAGTTTAGCTTTCTGTGATTTCAATTACTCATGGTCAGCCACGGTCCAAAACTATTAAATGGGAAATTCTGGAAATAAACAGTTTGTAGGTTTTAAATGGTATGCCAGTCTGAGTAGAGCAAAACAAAGCTCTACACCATCCTGCTTCGTCAGGCCAGGGACTTGATTATCCTTGTCCAGTGTATCCATGCTGTATACACTACGCACTTGTTAGTCACTTGGTAGCCATCTCAGTTATCAGATCAACTGTTGAGATATCACAGTGCTTGTGTTCAAGTCACCCTTATTTTACTTAATAATGGCCCCAAAACACAAGAGTAGTGATGTTGGCAATTCGAATGTGCCAAAGAGAATCTGTAAAGTCCTTCCTTTAAGTCAAAGGTGAACGTTCTCGACTTAAGGAAAGAAAAACATTGTATGCTGAAGTTGCTAAGAACTACAGTAAGAAAAAATATATCTGTGAATTTGTGAAGAGGGAAAAAGAAATTTGTGCTAGTTTTTGCTGTTGCACCCCAAACTGCAAAAGCTACAGCCACAGTGCATGATAAGTTCTTAGTTAAGATAGAAAAGCCATTCAATTTGTGAATGGAAGACAGAAACAGAAATGGTAGTCAGGTTTATCCCTATCAATGGTTTCAGGCAGCCACACGGTGACTTGGTATCCTCCATGGATAAAGGAGGACTACTGTAATACGAATTTAACAGAAACACTAACACATTCAGAAAATAGAATAGAAAGGAATAATTCTAATTTTAATAGTATAGTATATAACTTTGATGAGAAAACTAAGAAAGATATTACATGAAGAGAAAATTATGGACCACTGTCTCTCATTACAATAGAAAGAAAAATCTTTAACAAAACTTTATCAAATTGTGTTAGTCCATTTTCATTGCTATAAAGGAATACATGGGGCTAGGTAATTTAAAAAGAGGTTTATTGTGGCTCACAGTTCTGCATACTGCACAAGAAGCATGGCACTGGCTTCTGCTCCTGGTGAGGGCCTCAGGAAGTTTGCAGTCATGGTGGAAGGTAAAAGGGAGCCAGTGTGTCACATGGCGAGAGAGGGAGAAAGAGAGCAGTGGGAGGTCCCAGACTCTTTTAAACAACCAGATCTGGTGTGAACTCCTTACCTTTGGGAGGGCACCAAGCCCTTAATGAAAGATCTGCCCCCATGACCCAAACACCTCCCACTAGACCCCCCCTGCAACATTGGGGATCACATTTCAAAGTGAGATTTGGAGGGACAAACATCCAAACTATATCACAAATCAAATCAAATATATATGGATAAAGTGATGCCATATAATGACCAATGTAAGGGAAAATCCTGTATAATTATCTCAATAGAGGCAGAAAAAAGCATTTTTCAAAATTCAACACTCATTAACAATAAAAATCATCAGTCTGACATAAAAGGCATCTATGAAAAACCTACACAAATATTATGCTGAATGATTACATGCTGAATGCTTTTTTCTAAGAGCAGGAATAAGGAAGGTATGCTTGCTCTCACTATGTTTAACAATGTATTGGAGGCTCTAGCAATCAAAGTAAGACAAGAAAAAGAAACGAAAAGCATAGTTTGCAAAGGAAGAATTTGGAAATGACATAATGATGTATTTGGAAATTTTAAGAAATCAATAAAACATCTACTATAATAAACTAATAAGTGAGTGTAGCAAGGTCTGAGAGTACAATGACAATATAAATCAATTGTATTTTTCTATACTAGGAGCTAACAACTGGAAAGTAAAATAAAATAGTTTCCTTTTAAATACAAAGTACATAAAACATATGTTAAAAACATTACATACTTAAAAATAAATTTAACCCAAATTTGCAAAGCCTCTATACTAAATTTAAGAAAACATTACTGAAAGTTTTTTAAAAAACTTAAATAAGTGGAGATAGATGCCATGTGGTCATTGGAAGACCCAACACTGTCAAGATATCAATTATTTCAAAAACCTATGGTTTGAATACAATCCCAGTCATAATGCTTATAGGCTACTTGTATATAAAATGACAAACGGAATCAAACATTTTGTGAAAATGTGCAGTATTTAATATAGCCAAAACCACCTTAAAAGAGAAAAATCATTCTGAAGGAGTTACACAACCTGACGTTAAAGCTTATTATATTGTGGCGCTGGCTTAAGGAAAGAAAATAGATGAGTTTAATTTAATAGATAATCCAGACATAGACTCACACTTGACAGGTCAAGTGATTTGCAATAAAGATACAAAAGCATTAAATGGAGAAAGGAGAATCTTTTCAATATCAGTGCTGGCAAACTGGATATATGGGAGAAAAATAATCTAGACCCTATCTCAAACTATGCACAAAAAATCAACTTTGTTTGTAGATCTAAGCGTAAAACTTCCAAAATACACCAAAACAGAATATTTTCATGGCCTTCCCTGTATGCAAATATTTATTAGACAGGACATCAAAAGTATTAAACATGTAATTTAAAAATGATAAATTAGACCATGAAAATTTAAACCTCTGCAAATCAAAAGACAGCATTGACAAATTGAGTATTGAAACCATAGACAAGAAAAAAATATTCTCAAAATATGTATCTGCCAGTGGAGTTACATTCAGACTGCATAAAATATGAAAGATAACCCAAGGAAATAATGGAGCAAAAGACTTTAATAAATATTTTTTAAAAGAAGGTATACGAATGGCCAATAAACACAAGAAAAATGTTCATCATTAGTTAAATTAAAGTTAAATTAGTTAAAAGTGTTAATCTTTAGGAAAATGCAAATTAAAACAAGTTATCACTAATACACACACCAGAATGACTAAAATCAGAACTCTCTTACATTGCTGGTAGAGGTGTAAAAATGTTACAATCAATTTAATTATCCAAAAAAAGTCTTGATAATCTCATATAAAGTTCAATGTACATCAGCAATTTGGGGTCTTAGGTAATTGTTAAAGAGAAATAAATATATATTTCCACAAAAATACTTGGAAAACCATGTTTACAGCACTTTTATTGTTAATAACCTCAAGCTGGAAACAAACCGAGACTCCATGAACAAAATAGACCAATAAATTGTGTTAAGTTCATACAATGGAATATTACATAAATATAAAAAGCAGCAAACTACTAATGTTTATTTTTTTAAATTTCAACATTATATTGAGCAAAACAGTACATACTGTATAATTCCATTTATATGAATTCAAGAATAGGAAAAAAAGTCTAACTTGAATACAATCAGAACTTTGGCTGCCACTGGCAGGTGAAAGGGCAAGGAGCAGATTGGGAAGGAACAATGAGGGAATTTTCTGGAGAAAGCTGCAGTGTATCTCCTTGTCAATACCGTATGGCTAATATTTGAGCATTTCAATATACATAAATTTTATCTAAAAAAGCAAGAATTGTAAACAAGTAATAATAATTATGTGAAGGTTTAGGGAATGGATGCAGGCATCGATAAAATGAGAATGGCAGGACAATGCTAATTTTTGTAGTTGGGTGATGGAAACATAAGTGTTCATTATGATAGTCTGCTTACTTTGATATATGTTAGAGAACTTCCATAGGAAAAAGCTAAACAAGAAACCTACAGTAAATATTACACTTCAGTTGTGTGATTTTAAAATTATTCCTTTAGGATTAGAAATGAGAACAATACCTAGTAGCATGACTGACTTCTAGGTGCTAATGAGGTGGTAGTGAATAAGGGCAGAAATTTTAAAATATAAAGTAAAAATGACTGAAAATAATTAAAACTGTCATAATTTTCAGATTATCGAACTGTATATGTAGAAAATCCAAGTTAATTTGCAAAGACATTTTTAGACTTAAGACAGTTTTGTAAGTTTTTGGAAACAAAGCAAATATTCAAATCAAATACATTTTTATACACCCGCCTCAAACAGACAGAAAATCAAATTTTAAATATCACTTGTAAAGACATCAAAAGTACAAATAAATAAAGTATCCAATACCTAGGAATAATTCTCTCAATCGATGTGCAAATCCTCTCTCAGGAAAAATAAATGGTATGGAGAGAAATTAAAGAAGATCTAAGTTAGTGGACATAAGTTCATGGATTAGAAGACTCTATTATAAATATATCAGTTTTCCCAAACTGAGCTATAAATTCAGCGGAATTCCAATTGAGTTTCAAACGGACTATTTTTGTAGAGCTTGACAAGCTGATTCTAGAATTTGCATGAAAATACAAATGGCCAAAAGTGAGCCAAGATATTTTTGAAGAAGAACAAAGTGGGAAGAATGATACTACCACCTACCAATGAAGCCACAGTAATTTAGAAATTAAGACAGTGTCAGGCTGGGCGCAGTGGCTCGCACCTGTAATCCCAGCACTTTGGGAGGCTGAGGAGGATGGATCACAAGGTCAGGAGTTCGAGACCAGACTGGCCAACATAGTGAAACACCGTCTCTACTAAAAATACAAGAAATTAGCTGGGCGTAGTGGCGGGCACCTGTAATCCCAGCTACTCGGGAGGCTGAGGCAGGAGAATCACTTGAACCTGGGAGATGGAGATTGCAGTGAGCCAAGATCGCGCCACTGCACTTCAGTCTGGGTGACAGTGCGAGACTCCCTCTCAAAAAAAAAAAAAAAAAAGGAAAGAAATTAAGACAGTGACATATTAGCACAAATATAAAAAATAATAGTAGAAATAGGTCTATGCGTATTCGTACACAACTTTTAAATCAAATTTGGTGTAACAGAGCAGTAGAAAAATGACCATCTTTTCAATTAATGGTGCTAAGATAATTGAATATCCATATGGAATTCAAAAACTCAACTTGACATCTGCAGCATACCAAAAATAAAAATCAATCTGAGATTGGTTGCAGATCTAAATGTGAAAGTTAAAACAAGAAAGTTTCTAAGACAGTGCTGTCCAATGGAAATTTCAGTGATGATGGAAATTTTCTATGTCTGCACTGTCCAATATGGAACCGCTAGCCATATGTAATTACTGAGCACTTGAAACTTAGCTAGTGAAAATAAGAAACTGAATTTTTCGGTTTCCTCAATTTTAATTTTATTTTAAATATTCACTGGCTGGTGTATACCATATTGAATAGTGTGGGTCTGATGGATAACATGAAAGGATATCCTTATGATCTAAGGGTAGAAAAGTCTTCCTAGAGAAGATACAAACAATAGCAACCATAAAGAAAAAGATCATTTTCTTGGATCACATTACAACTACGAACTCTGTTCAACAACAACAACAACAACAAAACACTATGAAGAGAGTGTAAAGATGAAGCATAAAGTGCAGGAAAATATAACATGAACACAAAACAAAAGGCTCATATTCACCATAAAAAAGGAACTCCTATAAGTAAATTAGTAAAATATAAACACATGAGAAAAATTGGTAAGGAACATGAGCAGAAGTTTCCCTAAAGGTATTCAAATAGCCAATAAATATATAAAAAATGCAGTCAGCCTGTTAGTAAATGTAAATTTAAACAAGTGTATCATTATAACTCCATAAGAAGGGCTACAAAAAGAGACTGACAAGACTAAGTATTGGCGAATATGTGGCACAATGAGAACACTTTCACAGAGTGGGAATGAAAAATGGCATAACCATTATGGAAAAACCAGTTGGCATTAAACACACATGTTGAAGACACTCACACAGCATGACCCAGCAATTCCATTCCTAGGATTACACCCAACAGAAATGCAGAGACTAGCACAACTCATGATAGTTTTGTAGTTCCAAACAGAAAGAAGTTGCATGGATAAAGAATGCATAACATATTTATACAATGAAATACCAAACACACATTAAAACAAAGCACAGCTATCATGTAATAAAATGAATAAACATGGAGAACAATTTAATAGCATTTATTAAGAACCTTAAAAATTATCATACCCTTCAAGGTACTGATTCTATTTATAGAAATTTATTCTAGGTGAATATATATATATATATATGTACCTACAAGGATATCGATTAGAGTGCTATTTGTACCACAGAAAAAGTAGAAAAAAAGAAATCATGAATTGTATAAATTATCATACTGCTATATGAAGAAAAACTAAGCTGCCAGTATAAATTACTTAATGACATTTAATGATGTCACAAAATATTAAGGCAAATATGCAAGCCATAAATATGATACTAATGAAAAATGTCACTGTCAAAATGTTATGGAAACAGCACCAAAACATTTAACAGTGCATACTTCTATGTGGTGCTATTTAGAATGATTTTAAGTTTCTTCCTTCTATTTTTCTATTATCTACAAATTTTCCCAACAAAAACTTAGCAATCATAAAAAGAATATTGCTGTTTTTAATATAAATATGACTAAAGGTTAATACTAGCTAATTAAAAAGTCAGGAAGAGAAATATGTATTATATATATGCTTTATTATTTTTAGAAAAGCTTTCTGAGGTTTAGAAAAAATAAGTATTGAAAGATCCTATAAATTAATGGTAACTATATTGGGGAAACCTTTGAATATAAAGCTTGAAAATTAAGAAAGATAATCAGAAAATAGAATATTAGTTTAAAAGAAATCAAAGCAACAAAACCAAGAATACAAATTGTTCCATAACAACCATCTTTCCCCAGAATGGAATAAACAAATGAATACTCTCACGTGTTAAAATACTAGGGACAAGAGATGCCTTTAACCCTGTCATCACCCTTCAACTTAAACCATTTATTACAGGAAGTAACTCATATTCCCTTTGACTACTGAGGATTGTCTACAAGTTTAACACTTAGATATCCATGGTTTCCTTTCTACATTAACCCATCAACCCATAGTACAGAGTCTTCATTATTCTTTTGTTTTTAGTACTGAGCTGGTCTTTCTTTGGAGTTCTTTGAAATACAATAAAGAAGAAAGAAATCAATATTTGAAGGAGGCAGTATGAAAATATCTATTAAATGCAGAACTTTAAAGCAAGTGCTATTTTAATAAAATGTTAATAAATGGAACCAAATGATCTTTCTCACAAATGATATTTGCAGTTGTTTAATATAGCTATTATATAACTTTGTGTTTGGGGCACATATTTTAAGGAAATAAGAATTCATATAAGTAAACCAACAAATTTATAGGATGCTTGACACCTGATTTAAAAATCTGTCTTCAAACTATCTCATTAATTCTAGAAGATAATTTAAGTATTATATATTAGTAGGTTACAATTCAATTTAAGCCTTGTCTACTCTATTTGAGTGATCTGCTTTCAAATATTACATGCTTAAATTCCATTTGGAATAAATTTCCAAGACTATGGTTCTGAAAAATATAAATTAACAAAAGTAAATTTATTTTTCTCCTGACAGCTATACATCACGTAATTATTTGCTAAGAAGTAAAATCTTCTATCAGGAAAGCCTGCATGACAAATTGTAAACATTTAAATGAATGTTGAAGGAATTCTTTCTTCTTTTTGAAATGCTTTATAGTTTGATAAATGAATAAATTTTGAATTCTACATTTCTAATTTCAGAAGAAAAGCTTATTTTCAAAACACGTCAATGTGTATGAGTGTGTATGTATATATATGTAATCAAGCTGCCATATTTATTCAAAGTAGAACCACTTCTTTTAGTTATTTATTGTGTGATTTATCTGATAAATGTGTAATTCAGAAGAAAAATAATTACAAATTTCAAGTATAAAAATACTTTGAAGCCATTTGAAACTAATATTGTATGCCAACAGAAAATATATTTTTAAATTATTTTTGAGGTGATTAAGGAAAAACTTTTACATAAAGTATAGACTATGAATCTATATTGGTCTTAACAATTGTTAATTACTGATTAACAATGAGATAAAGAGAACGTATTGTCAACAGTGTCTAAGTATAGGAAAATGGAGCTTACAGTCCCAAATCTGCCCCCAAAAATGTATTTCAAGACTACCTGGAATTATATTTTGGAAAGGAAATTAGCCTTCTTTTTTTCTAGAATAAAGAACTTTATTGTTTCTAAAATAAAGCTGAAAATGTTTTTATAAATAAAAATGAAAATAATTTAATAAATAAATTAAATGTACTTCTATAAAGAACCTGTGTTATAAAATAAAAAATTTAGGAGATCTGACTGAATATTTCACCAATATCTATACTACTTTCGGTAAAACATTTATGGTTTGGTAAAACATCTAATGACTTGTGTTTTATATTCTCAACCACAGGTAAGTACAATAGGCTAGGCTACATGATGAAGGCTTAGGATTCCTTTTTAAGATCATTCTGTGAAAAAACAAATTTATATTGGTTTACCAAATTGGGTGTAGAACTTACACATTTGAAAGACTACAAATTAAAGCAAATTGAATGAGGTATTAATCCAGTTATTTAGAGAACTTTCTTTGTCATAGTTGGATTAGGTCTCTCTCTAATGCAATTTTTGACAGAGGGAGGAGTAACTGACACCTTTTTGTTTGTTACATACAAAAACCTTGTTGGTCAGGGCCTGAAGTCTAGAGTTGCTGAAATTTAGAGCTCTAGAGTAAAGCTCTGGAAAATGCTGGTAAGAAGATATAGAGAAGGAACTCCAAGTTTAAGGAGACCCATATGGCAGTTCTCAATCCCCACACATTACCCCAGCTTATGTACGAAAAACTACACAAGTATTTGAAAACGCTTTTTATGAGACTTGGTTTCAATCACTGTAGTCACCAATAAGTGTTTGCTACACTGTCTCTCTGTTATTTCCTGTTAGTCAAGCTTCTCTGAGTCTACTGAGTCCCCCAATTAAAGATGCATATTTATTAGAAGGCAATAGGTTGTGTAGTGACTGCAGTAGTTGCCTAGGGCCACTGTAACAAAGTACCACAAACAGGGTGTCTTAAAAACAACAAAAATTTGTTGTATTTCACTCTTGGAGGCTAGAAGTCTGAAACCATGTTTCTTTTGAAACTTCTTGGAAATCTTTCCTTCCCTCTTGCTAGCTTCTTGTGGTTTACTGGTAATCTTTGGTATTCTTTGGGTTGCAATTGCATAACTCCCATTTCTGCCTTCGATGCCAAAAGACATTCTTCCTGTATGTCTTCACATGGCCATCTTCTTATGAGAACACCAGTCATATTGGATTACGGACCTCCCTACTCCAGGATAACATCATCTTAACTATTTACACCTGCAGTGACCCTATTTCCAAATAAAGGTCACATTCTGGTGTATTGGGAGTTGAACTTCAACTTATCTTCTTTAGGGGACACAATTTAACCAAAATAGCAACAATGTGATTTATTATTTAGACCAGGAAAGCTGCAGAAGACTCACATAGGTGAGGTTTTTGCAAACACTCATAGGAATAGGTTTAAGTTCATTTAATCCTTCCCAAGAAACTTCACAAGACTAACAGACTTGTCTGGCCAAAACTGATTTTTTCTCATAGTTTAGTCTATTATACTAAAGAGAGCAGGAAACTGTGCTGTCACACATACATTGCGTATGATTTTATTTAATTCTCAAAACTTTGCATATTTGTTATTCTTATCTAGATTTATATATGAGAATAGTGAAAAGTTAAATAAGTTACTCAAGATAGCATAGCAGGAATGTGCCAAGGCTTAGATCAAGAGTTCCAGGCTTTTTAAGTCACAAAGATCATCCTCTTTCCATGGAACTATGTGGTCTCCCTCAATTAATATACTGAGAGATGATGATAAGGCCATCCAGAGTCACACAATATAGTTTAGTTCTTCATATAATTTTCATGTGACATGAAGTATGACTCATATTTTTTTCAACTATTCAAAAATATAAAACCTATTCTTAGCTTGCAAGTCATACAAAAACTGGCAGCAGGCTGGATTTGGCCCATAAGTAATAGCTTCCCAATCCCTGGCATACTGGGAAGAACACTGGTTTGTAAATGTGGGCCTTCAGTCCTTGCAGTTTAGACTCTAGGTCACCAAATGGATAATTACAAAATCAGTCAAGTCAGAATGTATAAAGACATGGCTAAGAGATCAGACAATTTATTACACTCACCAGATATTCTGGTGTTACAATGTCTATGCCATTTAGAAAAAAAATACTTAAACTTAATTTTTAGAAACAGGAAGCAGATCTGAAGCAAATATCTGAATTAAGTTAAAATATCCTTCTTCCAAAAAAAGAGAAACAAAGAAAAAGTCACAGAAATTGTATTGGCTATCTAATGCAATTTATTTCAATCTATCAAAAGATTTGTAACTATATTATTACTTCCCTTTAGGGAGTACAATAATCTCAGTATTGCCATAAAATATGCCGTTACACCTTGCAAAACACTGAAACTTGTAATTTTCCCTTATGTCATATTCATTCTTCTTAATGTGCTGTGAAGTCCAGGAAAATTTCCAAAGTCAAAAAGCACTGGAGAATATGAAACAGATATAAGTGCTTCAAATATTGGAAGTATACTGGAGGATCTCTTTTCAAAAATTAAATATTCCCTGAGCAGCCTCAATTGAATCACAGGGTGAAATAACCACTATGATCAGTGAAATATGTTGCTTATATAAGTAATGTTGAGATGGAAAAGAATTAATTAGTTGGAAGACTGTGGATAAGGACAGTACAGTCTGTAAAGCTTGAATACATATTATAATCCATGCAATGATGATGAGAATAATGGGCAACAAGAGGAAAACAAACTATTATAATACTGCCATTAGATATCAGCTATTTAGAGTAAGAATTTAATAACTAGGGAGTGGGATTATAAACCATGGAGGCTACTTCTATTAAGATGATTATCAGGCCGGGCTCAGTGGCTCACGTCTGTAATCCTAGAACTTGGGAGGCCGAGGCGGGTGGATTACCTAAGGTCAGGAGTCCAGTCCAAGCCCCATCTCCACTAAAAATACAAAAATTAGCTGGGTATGGTGGCACACGCCTGTAATCCCAGCTACTCCAGAGGCTGAGGCAGGAGAATTGCTTGAATCCAGGAGGCAGAGGCTTCAGTGAGCCAAGATCGCACCATTGCACTCCAGCCTGGGTGATAGAGCAAAACGGTCTCGAAAAACAAAACAAAAAAAAGATGATTATCAGTTTGTCTATGCACATGCACAGGAGAGGAAAATTATGAACACATCCAAGTACGTTCATGGTGTTGCTTTTCCAGAGATGAGAGAAGGAATTATACAGCATAATTCAATGATAAATACTTTCACAGTTTCGATGTTCTTTGTGAGTTTTGCTATTTATTTACATGTTATGAGAAAATCGTATTTTATGATAAAAATAATAACCCTGAATACTATGAGGACAAATAAAAACAAGAGGCTTAATTCTTCCCTTTGAAAATAAAGGAAGAGACTTATTCCCCTTCTCCCATCCTTTTTCTGAGAATATTTACTTTATTTTTTAGATTATTTTTAAATTTTAGATTCAGGAGTACATGTATGGGTTTGTTACATGGATATACTGTATAATGCTGAGGTTTGGGCTTCTAGTGTACCCATCATCCAAAGAGTGAACACTATAACCAATAGGTAACTTTTTAACCCTCACCCCTCTTTGGAATCCCTAGTGTCAATTATTTTCATGTTTACGTCCATGTGTACTTATTGTTTAGCTCCTATTTATGAGTGAGAACGGAGAGCATTTACTTTAGGCAATTGATAATTTTAAGTATTTTCTCCTCTCTTTGACAAGTATATACAACCTTTTAAAGATATGAAAGGCCTTTTGTCAGCTTTATGACCCAGGAATGTCTTCTAAAAGATTTGAGAGCCATCCTTTTGAAATGCAAACATCAAGGAAAACAGTATCCTCCTCTCCCAGCTTCTGTGGAAGGGTGGGAGCCTAACTTTGGTAGGTACCTTTCTCCAATTTGTGTAACTACCTCCTGTCATAAAGATGTGAGAAGTTTGTTTTTCCTCTGGATAAACCCAATTACTATGTAAACCTAGGGTAAGCTATTTGTGATGAATGATATTGTCAAGTTCTGTTACTCGAGGACTAGTTATTGTTTATCTTGAAAATATGCATGCAATCGTTTGTATCTGCTTGGCTATATAAGGGGTTAAGATTCCTTTCCATCTTGGCAATCTCTTAGCAGATGGTCTGTACCGCATATCACATTCTGGTTTAATGCGTATTCAATAATACAAGTGTTTTCTTTTTCTATTACCCTTGTGGAGAGGATTTTGGGGTTGGGAGAAGATTTTGGTTTTAATTATATTTTCTCAACAATACTCATCTGGCTATATTTGCATTTTTGATCAGATATTTTGTTTTAATTGGGCAAATGGGATCACTTCATTAATAATTATAATGAATAATGTTTGTCTTTAATATTCACATATGATTTTTTTACTTTTTATGTTTCTTGCAACTAGATTTTTTTATGATTAAATCCTCAACCCGAAGCAAAAGGAACCAAGATAAATATTTTGTTTATAAACTAAGATTATTGGTTTCTGATGGTTGAAAATAGGTAGCCTCATAACTTTCCAATCTTATATTTAAAACATATTCATTAGCTCAGAGGTCCTCAGTGTCTTCCTAGGAAAGTCTACTTATTTTCTACTTACTTCATGTTGAGGTAGAAGTATTAGATAGAAGCACAGAGGTTAGGAATGTGGGAAGTTGCTAACTAGCAGGTCAATAATCTCAGTCATCAGGTAGACTCAGATAGATAGAGTTGTAAATCATTGCTGTGGTTTTCTTGGCACTCTGGAAATTTCTAGGGATTCTTCCAGGGCTGCTGTGCTGGGGAAGGGTTGAATGGCCTGCTCTGGAGCAACTATTCCTCTTATTGCCCCACTTCAGATAGCAGGGGTTTTGGCTAGTTTCGTTTGAACAAACGACTAATTAAAAGGCTTCAACCTAGTCCAAACACACAAAAATCAGGAATCACTTTACATTGTTTAGGCTGCTAAGTCACTGGGAGTGATTGGAAACTCACTGGTACTGCTATTAAAAGCATCAGCATTGCCATCAGTGCGTATGTCAGTCCAAAGCCTGGTTCTTCCACATACTAGCTGGGCTGGTTACTTAAGCACTCACAGGCTCACTTTCCTCATCTATAAAGAGGGACTAACAAACACTGTCCTGAAAATATCTTTGTATTGATGATTTAGGCCCGGTCACAGTAAGCATCTAGGACAATGCCCGTCATATAATAAAAGCATAGGAAATGGAGACCCGGACTCTTTTTTTTTTAAAAAAAAGTGAGTTAAGAACTCCTCCTTAAATTGCGGTAATTCTTTCTATCTATAATTTTGATCTACTGACCCACTATGATAGTTTTCTCCTCTAGAGTTAAAAATCATATAATTTGTCTTCCTCATCAAAGTTTTTAAATAAGAAAAAAACTTTTAACTTCTTCAAACTTTTTTTCCAACATATTTTAAGTTTCCTCTTAAGGGACTTTTTTGCAAAAGATTTCTATTCTGTGAAGTGTTCTAATTTGCTAGTGTTTCTGATGAAAATTTTAGTGAACAAAATATTCTAGATACCATCTAATTGGCATAGAGTCCAATGAAACTACTGTAATTACATTACTATGATTTTAAATTATATTATTTCTTGTGGTAAATATAGACTAGTGCTGGCTCATTTCAAGGCCCCTGTGAATTAAAAGTGTTAAAGTACTTTTAAAATTGCTGTTTGTTTATATCTCCTTTATTCTTGTTGTCAACTCTTCGGAAACTAAATACAGAAGTTTATGTTGATGCCTACTACAATTCTACTTGTTGATTTAAGCCTATGCTTCAGCAATTTGAATCTGGATTCAATCTTCAAATTCACTAGTATTGTTTTTTCAGATTTGTCATCTGAAAATTTTATATTCATATTTTCAATTTGTTTGGTCATGTAGTGTATTAAAAATATTGAACAGAAAGAGCCCTGTGTCCTACCACTTTCAATCTATCTCTATGAGACGGGTTATGCCCATATTTCTCAGTCATGTACAAGTCTACTTCGATTTTATTAAATGTTTTGATGAAATACAAAATGACTAGTTACAATTATGTTTCTTCGGCACATTATGTGAAAGATACTTAGATCTAAATCCATTAAATACTTAAATTTATTTAATTTTCACAACCATCATATGGGGTTGGAACTATTAGTATCCTAATAGCTACTAGTGAATTATTATCTTTATAGAGACAAAGGAATAGAGCAGTTAGGCAACTTGCCCAAACTCACACAGGTAGTACATGGAAGAACTGGAAATCAGACTTAAGCAGTCTTATTTTAAAGTCATTATTCTTATACACTGTGCTATACAGAGTCTGCTACGAAATGTGTGATATTCACCTAGTAACACCCTACTAGCCTTTGTATCTCCTGATCCCCCCAAATAGGTTAATTGATTATGACCACTATTATTAAACAGTTGGATCTGAACTGACTTCTAGACTTCGTAAGTACTTCTAATATATGTTAATTAATTATTAATATGAATGAAATTTTAAAAATAAAGTACACAAGTACTTCTAATGAAGTTATATCAAATTTACCAGAGTTGTGTCTAAAGGATAATGTTTTTGAAGACCAGGTTGTCAGCCCTCTACAACCAACCTCTGTTCTGTTCTCTACAATTCCTCAAATATTTTTTGTGAGTGACTTTGACCCAGCAACCCCATTACTGGGTATATACCCAAAGGATTATAAATCATTCTACTATAAAGACACATGCATATGTATGCTTATTGCAGCACCATTTACAATAGCAAAGACTTGGGACCAACCCAAATGCCCATCAATGATAGACTGGATAAAGAAAATGTGGCACATATACAACATTGAATACTATGCAGCCATAAGAAAGGATGAGTTCATGTCCTTTGCAGGGACATGGATAAAGCTGGAAACCATCATTCTCAGCAAACTGATACAGGAACAGAAAACCAAACACCGCATGTTCTCACTCATAAGTGGGAGTTGAACAATGAGAACACATGGACACATGGTGGGGAACATCACACACTGGGGCCTGCCAGGAGATAGGGAATAGGGGAGGGATAGCATTAGGAGAAATACCTAATATAGATGATGGGTTGATGGGTGCAGCAAACCACTATGGCACGTGTATACCTATGTAACAAACCTGCACCTTCTGCACATGTATCGCAGAACTTAAAGTATAATAAAAGAAAAAAGTGACTTTTTCATTTAAGTTTGCAAGCTATTTTGGTACCCTTGGTTAGATTTTGTTTGAGCTGGAATAGTAAAGTGTATCTAAAAGTTCTTTTCATCTTTCCATCTATTGTGGCCTTCAATTTTCTCTTTTAAAACCTGATATAATTTTTCTCTTCATGACTATTTTTGTACAATAATTTAGAAAAGGAAAGCTTTAGTAAACAAGGCAAGAAGTAGTGCATGGATATGAGGAGGAGGGATAACACTGGTGGTAGTACATTATGTTTTTATATGTCCTTTTTATTTTCTCACTTACAAGTGTTTGCCAATAGTCAAGAAAATGGAATAAGAGGAACATCACTCTGAATATGTAAGCAAATAATAAAATTTTGTGAGTGATTTTTTTACAAAAACCAAGTAAAGTTTCCTTGTTAGAAAACTTGAAATTTCCAATAAGGAAAAATAGCTTCTGAAGTAAGGTCAGAAATCCATAAGGAAACAACTTTAAGAAAATACAAGGTAAAATAAAAAGATGAGATACAGAAAAATACTAAGGGAAAAGGGAGTAATAGTAGACCTAAAATGAACATTAGAAGAAAAACATACAGAGCTGATACTAAAGTTCATTGCTTTGATTTAGTGATATGGAGAGCATGCTACGGCTCTGTTTCACGGTATGGGGAAAAATAAAGAAAAATAAGTGAATGTGGTAAGAAAAAATGTTATAAAGGCAGATGAGAGAATTCAGATCCCATCTAGAAGTTATAAGTATGCTGGTTTAAAAAAAAAAAAGGAAGACCTTTACAACAGAACAAAAGAGTGAAAGAAATAATTTCAGAAAATTTGATGGAGGTAAAAAAGATTATACCTTGAAGTTCAAAAGAGATTTTTGTTTCTGAAAATAAATAATTTATATTGGCAACACTTTATTTTGTAAGGTCGGAGGAAGAAATCTTATACAGATTAAACCAGAAAATTGGGTTTTCTTTAAAGGAATGGCAATCTGTTTAAATTCAGACTTTAGTTTTCCATACTTAAAAAGACAGAAGACAATTTAATAACTGTTTTTCAATGTAGTAATATCTCAATGTGATCAGCTTATCATGTGGGCTATTAAAGCCAGTATTTCTAGGAGAACCTCCGTAAGGACACCCCAGGACAGCCATAGCTTTGCCTACCTACACAGGCTGACTGGACAGACATTTTTCCCAAGGTGTGTGTATGGCTGTCATACAATTTTTAAGAGACACCTATCTGCACCATGTTGCTCAAATCCTCACTTCTCCTGACCCCCTCCATACCTTCTCCACTTCTCAGGCTGCTCCTCGACTTCTTTTCTCCCAAATTTTCTTTCATTCCTTAAGTATAGAAATGTAATCATCTCCTTTTTTTGACATTACTTTCCAAATCAAACCATGCTGTGAGTTGAGGCTGGGTAAATCATCTTTCAAAAATTTAAAATACTTTACTAAATAAAACATAATTTTCTGCAAAGAAAATTATTGCTACTTAGGGAATAAAAGAAGTTGAATTTATACTCTCTCTCTCTCTCTCCCTCTGTCTTGATTATAGGCTTTACTTAATCATCACCCAGATTCTAGCTTATTTATCTTTCTAGTTTCAAAGCTATATTTTGTTCTCAGGCCACTAACCTCTGGCTGATTGTTTCTTTGAGTGATTGAAGTGGACTTCTTCCTGTCCTGTTTTGAGAAGGCTGGGGTGTATCAGGATAGTTTTTTACCTAATTTGCATTCCCTGTATTAGTAATTATTGTCTATGACACCTCATGAACAGTAGGGACTATCTGGCTCATAAAAGCACATGAGAAAATGGACTCTGGACAATCAGCTGAACTCTGATGGAGTTACCCCAGTACTTGTATTAGCTTACTTCATAGCATGAGAATATGTAAGACAAACTCTGACTTTTGTTTTTATAGCTTTATAATCTACCTGATACAATTATGACTGTCATGAATGTTATAAGGGACAGTCTAGCATTCATTGAGGAGAGAGAAAGCTTGTGTTAAAAATCAGAAGTTCCAGGGCTTTCACAATATTACCTCTCCTACATTTAGTGATCTACAACCAACTTTGCATTTTAACAACTAAGTGTGTAACGTATATCTATATCTATTTAACAATTTCATTATAATTTCATGAAGTAAAATATATTTTAATATCATAAAAACAAAAAGGGTACAGAATGAAAAGATACATTTAACTTTATGAAAGATTTGCCACTTTTTTCTAACTTTTTTTATTTTCTCCATGGCACCAAAAATTTTACTGTGATATAGCTATTGGAAAAGCATTTGGAATTAACAAGCTGTATGACTTTTAAGTTTCCATTGTCCCATTCCTGTGATGTTATTATTCTAGAACTATCAAGACAGCAAAAGGATAGAAGAGAAGGCAGGATTTGGTTTGAATGATTAGGATCTAAAGTTGCCATGAATAGCTCTGCTCATGGCATCCCTATCTTTTTGAAGTTTTGATCTAAGTTTTTAGGTCCTCATTTAAAAAGACACTTTCCTTAGCAGTATTGGGAACAGAAAATTTGGGGAAAAGATCCTATCAAGTGAAACACATTATGGATAGTTATTGTATAGACTTTTGCTGACTAGTGTTGTTTGTTTGTTTGGGTTCTCATATAATTTGAGACCCACATATTAACCAAGAGGATTATTGAAATCACAAGGTTATTTATATGAAAAAGTTATCTTGCTTAAATACCTTTCTGTTTTATTTATTGAATTAACTTCTTAATTCTGAAGAATGAATTATTAACATAACAGTCCAAATTTAATTCTGTCAAAAATATTGCTTAAAAACAATTTTTCAATCACATTTTCTATAAACTTAGAAAGCAGTTTAAAAATAATATTGGCACAAACTATTCTGCCTCTGAAATTACATTGAGAAAACAAAAGTTACAGATGACTGCCAGTGATATTTAGACTTTCTATGATACCTTCACATTTTCCAACCAATATGTGTTCCTACCACTGTATAAAATTTGAAAAACTTAAAGAAGACTTTACTCAAAGGTCTTAGGACACATTGAAAAAAAATTTCCTTAAATTTAGATATAAGTAAAAGTAATTCTTGTTTTACTTTTTGTTGTTTCTCTTCTTGTTAGAAAATGAAAGGTAATAGAAATGGAAAATGACCAGGTAAGGTGAATCCTAGCAAATTTTTTAAAAATAGAAATTAACAAGATGACTTTATAATTCATATGGAAATGTGATGGACATGAAATAGCCAAACAATCTTGAAGAAGAACAAATTTGGAGAAATTAATCCGACTTCAATTTTTATAATAACAGTAAAGTAGTCAAAAGAGTGCATTGTTCACAGAAGAATAGAATTGAGAAATAGACTCATACATATATAGTCAATTGATTTTAAACAGACATCCCTAGCGATACAACAGAGGAATAAGAAAGGATTTCCAACAAATGGTGCTGGAACAATTTATATGGGGGGAAAGCATGACTCCTTATTTTATAGCATATGTAAAAAATATTTTGAGATGTTTCACAAAGTTAAACATAAAATCTGAAGAAAAAGGAAAAGTGCCTTTATCTGCTTAAACAAGAAAAAGGAGGTGGGCAAAAATTTCTAAAGAAGAACACAAATAACAACAACCTTCAACATTAAGACAAAAGTTGATAAATTAGACTTCATTAAAAAGAAAAGAAAGAACTTCTACTAATCAAGAAATTGGAAGAGTCAACCACAGGCTATAATAAAGTATGAGACAGCTGAAAAAGAACACTACACAGAATACAAAAATTTAATGCACTCATACAAAACAACACAATAATTAAAAAGATGACTGGTGAAAGTGGGCAAAAACATGAACAGATATTTCACAAAGAAAATACGCCAATAGCCAACAAGCATATAAAAAAGGTGTTCAACATTATTAGACACTTGAGAAATGTCAGTTAAAACACAAAGACAGCACTATTTAACCACTGGAATGGCTAAAATAATAAAAGAATAACAATATAAAATGCTGGCAAGGATTAACTCTGAAACATTCTGGTGGGAGGGCAGAATTATAAAACCACTATGAGTTACTAATAAGAAAATATGGAGGAATAAGTCTTATTCTATGAGCTTGTATTGGAAATGGAGGTATCAGTAGAAATGTATGCCTTTAGAAAGAGAGACAGACAGCTATAGATTGTATATGTGTGTGTGTGTTTGAATATGTGTAACAGTGTGTATAGTTGTGTGTTTATTAACTAAAAGGTTCTACATGTGTCAGTCATAAGCACACTTAGAGAACTGGAGCACACTTGGTACTCAGACCTTTTTATTCTAAATATTACTCTTGACTAAAAGGAAGCATCACTCTTAAGAGAAGTAGCTCTCAAAATAATAAGAGCTATTTATGACAAACCCACAGCCAATATCATACTGAATGGGCAAAAACTGGAAGCATTCCCTTTGAAAACTGGCACAAGACAGGGATGCCCTCTCTCACCACTCCTATTCAACATAGTGTTGGAAGTTCTGGCCAGGGCAATCAGGCAGGAGAAGGAAATAAAGGGTATTCAATGAGGAAAAGAGGAAGTCAAATTGTTGTCCCTGTTTGCAGATGACATGATTGTATATTTAGAAAACCCCATCACCTCAGCCCAAAATCTCCTTAAGCTGATAAGCAATTTCAGTAAAGTCTCAGGATACAAAATCAATGTACAAAAATCACAAGCATTCTCATACACCAATAACAGACAAACGGAGAGCCAAATCATGAGTGAACTCCCATTCACAATTGCTTCAAAGAGATTAAAATACCTAGGAATCCAACTTACAAGGGATGTGAAGGACTTCTTCAAGGAGAACTACAAACCACTGCTCAACGAAATAAAAGAGGACACAAACAAATGGAAGAACATTCCATGCTCATGGATAGGAAGAATCAATATCGTGAAAATGGCCATACTGCCCAAGGTAATTTATAGATTCAATGCCATCCCCATCAAGCTACCAATGACTTTCTTCACAGAATTGGAAAACACTACTTTAAAGTTCATATGGAACCAGAAATGAGCCCACATTGCCAAGACAATCCCAAGCCAAAAGAACAAAGCTGGAGGCATCACACTACCTGACTTCAAACTATACTACAAGGCTACAGTAACCAAAACAGCATGGTACTGGTACCAAAACAGAGATACAGACCAATGGAATAGAACAGAGCCCTCAGAATTAATACCACACATCTATAACCATTTGATCTTTGACAAACCTGACAAAAACAAGAAATGGGGAAAGGATTCCCTATTTAATAAATGGTGCTGGGAAAACTGGCAAGCCATATGTGGAAACCTGAAACTGGATCCCTTCCTTACACCTTAAACAAAAATTAATTCAAGATGGATTAAAGACTTAAATGTTAGACCTAAAACCATAAAAACCCTAGAAGAAAACCTAAGTAATACCATTCAGGACATAGGCATGGGCAAGGACTTCATGACTAAAACACCAAAAGCAATGGCAACAAAAGCCAAAATTGACAAATGGGATCTAATTAAACTAAAGAGCTTCTGCACAGCAAAAGAAACTACCATCAGAGTGAACAGACAACCTACAGAATGGGAGAAAATTTTTGCAATCTACTCATCTGACAAAGGGCTAATATCCAGAATCTACAAAGAACTCAAACAAATTTACAAGAAAAAAAAACAAAAAAAACCATCAACCAGTGGGCGAAGGATATGAACAGATACTTCTCAAAAGAAGACATTTATGCAGTTGTTGGCTAACAGACACATGAAAAAATGCTCATCATCACTGGCCATCAGAGAAATGCCAATCAAAACCACAATGAGATACCATCTCACCAGTTAGAATGGTGATAATTAAGAAGTCAGGAAACAACAGCTACTGGAGAGGATGTGGACAAACAGGAAGACTTTTACACTGTTGGTGAGACTGTAAACTAGTTCAACCATTGTGCAAGACAGTGTGGTGATTCCTCAAGGATCTAGAACTAGAAATACCATTTGACCCAGTCATCCCATTACTGGGTATATACCCAAAGGATTATAAATCATGCTGCTATAAAGGCACATGCACATGTATGTTTATTGTGGCACTATTCACAATAGCAAAGACTTGGAATGAACCCGAATGTCCAACAATGATAGACTGGATTAAGAAAATGTGGCACATAAACACCATGGAATACTATGCAGCCATAAAAAGGGATGTGTTCATGTCCTTTGTAGGGACATGGATGAAGCTGGAAACCATCATTCTCAGCAGACTATTGCAAGGACAAAAAACCAAACACTGCATGTTCTCACTCATAGGTGGGAATTGAACAATGAGAACACTTGGACACAGAAAGGGGAACATCACCCACTGGGGCCTGTCATGGGGTGCGGGGAGGGGGGAGGGATAGCATTAGGAGATATACCTAATGTAAATGATGAGTTAATGGGTGCAGCACACCAACATGGCACATGTATACATATGTAACAAACCTGCACGTTGTGCACATGTACCCTAAAACTTAAAGTATAATTAAAAAATATTTAAAAAGAGAAGTAGCTAATTCTAGGATGAGGTGCAAAAAAATTTCAAAATAAACCTATAAATTCTTGTGCCAGAAAGTAAGGAAATACTCAAATAATAATGAGGCTGTGTCAAAGGAACATAGAAAATTGCCTGAATGTGCTTCAGCTTGCCAAATCTGGGACATTTGTACATTGAACGAAATAATGAGATTAATGGACAATAGTGAATAAAGTCGATATTCATAAATATATACTGACTCAATAATAAGAAGAAAAATCTCCTTTTTATGTTAGAAAGCATACAAACAATGTCAAAGGAATGATGGAGCTAAAACATCATCAATAGATACAAATAGTGGGTAAAATTTTGATGAATAACCGAATAATTGTTTCATGTTAAAAACCTTTCCACACAGATTAGTTGTTAATTACAAAGGAGAAAGAAGTAACTTTATAGTATGCACACAGTGGACACCATCTTATCAAAGTGATCAAGGTCAAAATTAACAATATTATGACAAATCAACATCGTGTGCCTCCTGACAAGTTTCATTGGAAAGAAAGCAAAACCAAATATGTGATACTTCTGCCAAAAATATATAAGTATCCATCTAATAATGAGGAAATATTCAAATCCAAACTATGGGATATTACACAAAATAATTTGCCCATATTCTTTGTAAGTATCAAGGTCAGGAAAGATGAAGAAAGAGGACAAAATGTCCAAATATATGCACCTGAAAAGACAAAACAACGGACTGTTTTGTGATCCTGGATTGGATCCTAGACCAGACAAAGAAATAGCTATACAGGATTATACTTTGATAATTGATAAAACTTGAATTTGGACTATGAGTTAGCTGGTAGAATCATAACAATGGTAAATTTACTGATTTTGATTACTTTACTGTGGTTACATTAAGAAAATGTTGGCCAGGCAAATCCCAGCACTTTGGTAGTCCGAGGCAGGAGGATCACTTGACCTGAGATATTTGAGACCAATCAGGGCAACATAGCAAGATCTTGTCTCTACTAAAAATAAAAAATTAGCCAGGCATGGCAGCGTGCACCTGTAGTGTCAGCTACTCAGTGAGGTTGAAGGATCACTTCAGTGCAGGAGGTCGAGGCTGCAGTAAGCCATGATCACACTACTGCACTCCAGCCTGGGTGACACAGTGAGACTCTGTCTCAGAAAAAAAAATGTCCTTGTTTGTAGGAAATTCACAGTGAATTACATAGGGGTAAAGCATGATATCTCTAAACTTACTCTCAAATGATCTACACAAAATAATGGGCATGCATTTAAGTACATATAAATCTATAATTATCTAAATATACATATGTAGAAAATAGATAAAATGTGAACAATTGATAAATCTGGATCAAGGAAATATAAATATGTATTTATTATATTTATATTAAATATTTAGATTTATATAAATATTTATATTAAACATTTACACTGAAATGTTTATATTTAAACAAATATTTATATTGTATTTATATTAAATGTAAATATAAACATAATATAAAGGAAAGCTTTGTATTTCTGCAATATCCATGTAACCATGAAATTATATAAAAATAAAGTTACCTAAAATTATTGGTTTTTTGTTAGAAAACTTGTAGCCAAATTTCAGAAAATTATTTTTCTCAAATACTATTACTATTCTTACCATCTGCTTCATTTATGTAAATTTTGTTTCATTTTCACAGTATTTAAATTCAGCAATTCTTCAAAAATACTTTTCCCACTTAGGAATTTAATTAAAATAACACTGTAGGAAGACAATAGAATACCGGTGTAGGTTAGAAAATGCTAAATGAAAATTAAAGACAATTTATCAATGGTTTTCTAAACAGGAAAATTTCAACAGTTTGCCTTTTAATTTACTTGACAAGTTTTCTTGACATTTATTATGCATTGCATGTGTGGAGCTGCAAGTCTTAAATTGTATTTTCCCATATTCCAAACTGTAAGACTTTTCACACTAAAATATACAATTACTTCTCTTGCAATTAGACAACTATCTTATGGCATCTCTATATATGGCAACAAGAGAACATAGCATGCTATATTTAAAATCTTTTCAAATGTCAGGCCTCCTGTGTACTCTAGAGCTTTTGATATAATCCCTATGGCTGATATAATCATTCCTAAATTTAGCTCTGCCTCTACCACTGGACGGAGGCCATTTAAAAACAGAGGCTGTGTTTTTTTCTACAGCACTGGTGATGTTCAAATGTGTTGTAGAACTCAGTGTTGGATATGCAATGGGAACTTTAAGTACTGAAAACTTTTAAGGTTGTGTAAAGTACTTTATTTTACTTATCCATGTGATGTCTTTCAATTATATTTTTAATACTTATATTGGAATTTGTATTAACACATTTTTATCATTAATAAATTTGACATTGACCTACTTTATTTGATATTATTGAATAGCTTTTGAAAAAAACATAATTATAAATTAACTTTTCCATTTTAAATACAGTAAACCTGGAAAAGATTTTTTAAATTTTCATGAAATATGAGATGTTTTTAATTTTATTGAATATGACATTTAATAAAGAATTTTTAAAGAAATATATTTTAATTTTAAGTTTTTAATGGGTAGATTTTCAATAAATATATTTAAATATTTATATATTAGCATCAGGTACTGATTATAATGTATTATGAACTCTTAATATTGGCAAAAATTTTCAAGTAGTCACTTACTTTAAGTACGAAGTTGCTTTACTTTAACTGATATTATGATTTTCATATTACACAGTTTTTCCTATAAATCACTCACTGATAAATTTTAAGTGTTAAACACTGCGTTTAATTAAATGCTTTACCTGAGAAACATAGCTGAATTTTTCTTACTTATTTAAAAATTGCACTGATGAGTTTTATAACTGTAGATCAATAAGTCCTTTCTAGTAGTAAAGTGAATATCTTTTTTATAATTTATTTCAACATCTGCTGTTTGTTCCATGAAAATATTTCTAAACACCTAACATCATCATAAATTGATGTTATATATAAATTCTAATTTAACAATAGAAAGCTCAAAAGTAAAAATAACACTATAGAATATGATTTTCTCAATTCCCTTTGACATATCAAATTACATGGAAACAAAGAAATTTTATTACACACATTTGTTCATTTAAAATAAAACTTGAAAAAGCCTAGTATACAGATATTCAAATAAATTTGTCATTTCTTTTAATATCTTAATTGAAATAGTTCTACAAGAAACCTAAAAAAATAGAAAGGAATCAACAGTCCTGGTTTTCCTGCTTGAAGTATTTTACCTTGAAGGCACAAATATGTCCCAATAAATAATCCTACTTATCACACCTGAAATGAGTTTATTCTGTTTTCTGAAAGTTACAAATCTGATTTCTCACCTTAGAAATGCTTCCCCTATAACATGGTTTTGTCAATGTTTAATAAGATTACTGAGAACTCCTTGAAGCAGGGCATAATTGACTTCAGAATCCAAGGCATTGCATTGGGTATTCACCAACCGCAAGGAGAATCGGGGGTGCTTCTCTAGCTTTTTTAGTGCTGTTTGTGGCTGGGAAAGTCCTAATTTAGTCCTAATTTACTCCTAATTGCATAAGCAGCCACACCATTGCCTTCTATATGAATCAGGCCAAATCATTCTGAAAAGGAATTTATGTGATATTTCTAGCAGTAGCCTGGGAGTCCACTATGATTCCTCATATCTGAAGTGATAGCTGATATGTAGATGACTTCTATTCTTCTAATATAAAGTATAAAGAGAAAGTAAATTTCCTGCAGTTAAAAATCATGTTATTCGGCCAGCTGCGGTGGCTCACGCCTGTAATTCCAGTACTTTGGGAGGCCGAGGTGGGTGGATCACCTGAGGTCAGGAGTTCGAGACCAGCCTGGCCAACATGGTGAAACCCCCATCTCTACTAAAAATATAAAAGTAGCTGGGTGTGGTGGTGCATGCCTGTAATCCCAGCTACTCAGGAGGCTGAGGCAGGAGAATCGCTTGAACCCAGGAGATGGTGGTTGCAGTGAGCCAAGATCGTGTCATTGCACTCCAGCCTGGGCAACAAGTGTGAAATTCCGTCTCAAAAAAAAAAAAATATGCTATTCTCCAGTATAAAAAACCTTGCCTTCAAAAACAGTATCTACCCTATTACTTGGTTGGCAATTTGTAAGTTTTTACAGAAAGATACTGCTTTCTGTATTGTCACTTCTAGATTTGTATGAAATATGCTTTTAAACTGATTTTTCATATACTTGACCTCAGCTGAAAAAGCCTAAAGAATTTATGTCAAATAAAGTTTTAATTTTCATATTTGGGAAAAATGTACATGCTTCAGCCTATTAAAGGATACATATGGGGAGTTCTGCTCCTAATAATTAGTCCAACTGAGAAAAAGAATACTTTTCATAGAATTAATCAATGGTAATTACCAATCATTAGTGTGTTATTAAGTATTTTAAATTTTAAGGATTTAAATTTTAGCTAATTTCATAATTTTTGTTATACCAACAATAAAAAGACAGTCTCCTTAATAATATTTGGGTTAAAACAAAAAAATTTAGGCTAATTATTTTCTTATGACTGAGCATTTTCTTTTAGGCTTAAATGTAAATCAATATATGAAAGGAAACAATCAACAGAATTAAGCAACAACCTACGCGATGGGAGGAAATATTTGCAAACTATACATCTGACAAGGAGTTAATATCTAAAACATATGAGGAACTCAGACAACTCAACAGCAAAATAATAAATAACCTGATTCAATGGACAAAGTACCTGAAAAAACATTTCTCAAAGGAAGATATACAAATGGCCAGCAGGTATATGAAAAATACTTAGCATCACTAATCACCAGAAAACAATGTAAATTAAAACCACAATGAGATTCACTTCATACCTGTTAGAATGTCTACTGTCAAAAAAAGGTAAAATATGTGTTGGTGAAGATGTGTAGAAAAAGGAACACTTATACATTGTTGGTGGGAATGTAAAGTAGTATAGCCATTATAGAAAACAGTATGGAGATTCCACAAAAAAATTAAAAATAGAACTACTGTATGCTCTATTAATTCCACTTCTGTGTACATATTCAAAGCATGCTGGATTAGTAAGTTGGATCAATACAAAGTCAGTACGTGGAAGAGATATGTGCACTCCCATGTTCATTGCAGCATTATTCACAATAGCCAAGATATGGAATCAACCTAAGTGTCCATCAATGGATGAATGGATAAAGAAAGTGTGATACATATACACAACTGAACATTATTTAGCCTTATAAAAGAAGGAAATCCTATCAGTTGTGACAACACATATGAACATAGAGGACATTAAGCTAAGTAAGATAAACCAGACACAGAAGGACAAATACTGTGTGAATGAAATCTAAAAAAATTTGAAGTTATAGAAGCAGGGAGTAGCAGCAGTCTGGTGATGGTGGGATACAAAATTTAATTTAGACAGGAAGAATAATTCAGATCTACTGTACAACATGGTGACTATAGTTAATGACAATGTGTTGTATACTAAAAATTGCTGAGTGTAGATTTTAAATGTTCTCACCACAATAAAAACGTTAGTATGTGAGGTAATGGATAGTTAATTAACTTAATTTAGCCATTCTATACTGTATACACATGTCAAAACACCATATTCTATGCTACAAATATGGACAATTTTATGTCAAATAAAAACAAAGAAAATTAATAATAAATAAATGAAAACTTCAAAACAAAACCAATGTATAAATGATCTGGGTACACACACACACACACACACACACACACACACACACGATTCTGGGAAGTCTGTTACTTTCTTTGTTATTCTGCTTTTAAAATAAACTGATACTGAAAGCTAAGTGCTAAGGGTACAACTGTAGAAATGACTTAACACTACCATTCAAGTGGGTTACAACTGAATAGGAAGAGATTATCAATGACAAACAGTATAAATATGTGACAATATTAGAGTTAATAAGTTATAAAGAGTTAATAATGTGGGAATTTATGAGAGAAGCCCCTAATACAGTCTTGTGAGTAAAGGTGGAATATCATAGAAATCTTTGCAAGAAAAAAAGGGTTCCCTAAGTTTACCAGTTAGCCTCGGTGGGATGGAGATACCAAATATTTCTCCTTCTTCACATACAGTTTTAAAGCATTGCTTATACAACCTGTCTATATATTTTCAATTTCTATTTGGATCTTACCTGAGTCTGGCTTCAGCATCCATCACTGCACTTAGCAAATCTCCCTTAAGCCACCAAAAATTTCTGATGTCATACATTCAATGGACTTTTTGATCAGTGCTTGCCCACAGTTAAGCATTGTGCTCTTCTTAAAACATTCTTTTCTGTAGTCTTCTCTGAAAGAAACACTTTTTCTTTCCACTTTTGTAACATATTCCTTCTCCAGTTCTGTTTGCAGGACATCTCATTCTACCTAGCTCAGAAGCACTGGAGTTCCTTAAGACTTGTACTTCATTTCTCTTTGTAGGCAATATTTTGAAGGCAATCTCATTCACACCAATGGCTTTTCTTATGATCACACATGTTTATGTCTAGCTCAGATTTATTATCTAAGCTATAACCCCAACTAAGAACTTTACATCTCTTCTTGGATGCTTTCAAGACAACTAAAACTCAACATGTCAGAAATTAAATTGATAATCTTCCTCCTAAATCTGATACACTTTCAGCAAATGACATTATCATCCATCTATCAGTACAAGACATAAACCTAAAACTCATCCTTAAAGCCCCCTCTTCATTCATCAATTTCTGCCCAGTTTACTTCTTAAATCTTTCTCATATCCATAAATACCTCTATATCACCATCAATTAAATTAGTTCAAGCTATCAGGTCTGGCTTGTGCTACTAAAAACAACATTCTTTAAATCGATATTTCCATATCTGTTCTTGCCTCCTCAAATTTATTCTCTATCTAAAAGCCACAGTAATATTCTAGAATATGGGTCATCAAAGTTTTTCTGTGAAGGGACAGATGGTAAGTATTTTCAGCTCTGAAGGACTTGAAATCTCTTGCAGCTAGTCAGTTCCACCATTTAGCTCAACAGCATCCATAGAGAATGTGCTAAGTGTATGAACACAAATATGATTATGTTGCAATAAAACTTTATAAAATAGGCAGTAGGTCAGATTTGACATGTGGGCCATAATTCATCAACTCTTGATTTAGGATACAAAACTGATCAAAAGAATCCCTTCCCTAAAACACATTAATGATCTTCCTAGTACTCTTAGGATAAATACCAAAACAAAACCTTACTTCTCTTATCACCTACCTCCATCTCTTTTATGCCTCCATAATCACTAGATTCCAGTTTTCCCTTTGTAGTTCTTCAAATGTACTATGTTTCTTCCTACAACAGGGCTTTTGTATTTGCTTTTTTCCCCCTGAAAACTCCAGACTATGTTAAATGCCCCATATTCAATGTACCATGTATCTCTCTTTCAAAGAACTGGCTACATATGTATTTTCACATTTTTTGTGTCACTATTTGATTAATTTATATGACTCCCAATAGATTAAACTCAAACTTTAAGACAGGTTGTATATCTATCAGTTCACTATTGTTTTCCTAACTCTTAGCCCATTACTTCGTACATTAGAAGAGACTTATACCTGTTTCTATAATAGATAAATGAATGAATGAATGAATGGAGTGAATGCATGCATGCGTGTATGTATGTGTACATGCATGAAAAGATGAGAGATGAGAAATCATGGCTTATTAAAGGAAATAAACATTCCGGTGGTGCTGGAGAGCATCTGAAGGGTTTTAAGCAGAGAGTATCAAGATAAGACTGGCTTCAGAGTCTACTATGCAGAGAATTTCAAAATACTATGTATTGCTTCTTTCCCTTTTTACCTTGAAACCCTATGCAAAAGCTCTTCATGTCTACATTTCTGTGAATTACTTATATTTGAGTTTGCTCATATTTTCTCAACAAAATCATAATGTCATTCTGTTATTTTAATTATGTATGTATGTGTGTTTGCATCAGTATGTATTCTTGGAGGAAGTGGACTGAGACTTTAGTATTCTGGTTTTGGTGCCTCATGCCTTTCATATTTCACAGTCACATAGAAGCAAAGCCTTCTGAAAGAATCCAGTTTAAAGTTTTAGTTGATACATTACACATTATAGATTGGGCTACTCATTACCACTCACTCTATCAAGGTTTCCAGCACAGCCATAATTATTCAGCATGGGAACTAGGTATTAAATTTAAACCTGGCAATTTATTTCACTTTTTATTCTGCTGGAGAGGTTTGAAAATCTCACATTCAGACAGCAAAAGAAGGATTGATGACTACCCCATGTATGAGTCCATGGCTGAGTCTCTCCTGGCTGAATGCCACAAAAACATTTATAGGTCATTGCACTAAACAGAAAAATATATGCTGGTATTTTTTAAAGAGAGAGAATACCACTGACTCACTATTGAATTTTTTTTAATCCCATCTGAAGCAGAAATCAGTTCTTATCTGGCTATGCTAACTTTTATCACAGCCTCTGCCTAGGATCTAGGTAAGTTTGACCTAGCAATTACCAATCTTTGTAATTGAGTTGTACCAACTCTCTAGTATCTAGGGCAGGCTTCTAATTAAAAAACAATACATTTTAAAATGTATTATTTTATTCTAAACATAAAACAATTTGTTTGTTGTAAACACAAACATATGGAAACTTTGGATGGGCAAGATGAGGAAGATTGGCTGGCCAAGACTGACATTCTGAAGTCAGGAAAATGATACAGATGATTCACTTATTAAAAAAAAACTTGTAATCTTACGATGAAATGCACAAAAACACAACACTAGTGATGAAGAAGCAAATTTCAGCACATTGAGAAATGGAGTGCCTAGTCTTACTAACTCAGTTCCTGTTAGATTTATTTTTTAGTATGTTCTCATTTATGAAATATTTTAAAACCATGAGCACTTCAAAAGTATCTCAGTGATCATCTAGGAAGTTATAGAGGATGTTAATAGACTATCTAGTCAAAGCCACTCATTTTACATTAAAAAAAAGAGAAAAGTTAAGTAACCCTCCAAAGTTATTCATAAAATAATAATAGCAGTATAGTCATAGTAAGTCCCTTTTAAGTACTTAATAGTTGTAAGCAGGTATGTAAAACTCAGAACATTATGAATTAAATATTATTATCCACCTTTTATAAAGGGGTCAACAGAACAAAGAAATTCAGTAGCTTACTCAAAATCACATCACTGGTAAGTGATGGAACTGGAATAAAAAACCCAGTCACCCTATTTTCAGATTCCAGAATATAACCCAACGAAATGCTTTTTCTACAATATCACTTGTACTTTACTATTTTTATTTTCTTGATTACTTCTGCTCTTTTAAGGATATAATGTGCTGTGACCTGAAATCATCTGAGTTTCAAACACTGTGTGAACATGGCCACCAGGACCTGATGAACTTTTTGTTTTTATTCTAAGCAAACTTTTTGGGCATCTCCCTTCCGCATTCATTTTCTTGAATCCCAGTCCTCATGCTTTCTCTCCTGCAACAGGTGGCCAAATACATTGTCACTCCTGCTGCAAGACAGCCAGGAGATGTCTAAGCCAAGTTTTCACAAATAAATGTATTTAAAGGCTGAACCAAAACCTATGAGTATTTATTTTAGAATTCCTCCAAAGTTAGTGACTCCTAATCATTTCTTTTCATTATAGAAAATAATTAGGCTTTATAGTACATGAAAGACTTGTCTACCTCAAACTGTTTAAGCAATTGTTTTCTAAAATGTTTATTAATTACTTACATATAAATGCCAGTCACAAACTCTAAACAGCATGAGTTAGCTAGTATTAGAAAAGCCAAAAAACATTGCTACTTTTCTTAGTTCATTTTGCCTTTATGTGTATATCTGCTGAAGGTGTTGGACATATTAAAAATATTTTCCAGTAATCCCACTACTACTGTCTTCTTCACATGAGACTTGGGGAGCACAATTGGGAAATCTTTGGTCTAAGGGGTCTGTTGGTGGACCTCTTTACGTTGCCCTGACCCCAAAGAATGGCTACTGTGCTGTGTTGTGCAAACCCCAATATCACCCCTCATAATAATATTATGATTATCTTTGGATGGGAAAGCTCTTTTCTATGACTAGTTGTCTCTGATTATTTTCTTATGTGGGAGATACAAATCAATAAGTGTCGCACTCCAAACTTGGGGATGTTTTTATAATATTACAACTGTATGATTTTAGAATATTATAATCTGAACTATAATACATGAATATAATGAAAAGCAATACAGCCATTAAAATTTTAAAAAATATTGCAGGATATAAAATATTAGGTATATAACAGATTTTTGTTTTTTAAAGAATTCATGAATGTTACTTTTACGCTAAGGAGAAAACAATTTTAGGAGAAAATAAACACGTCATTAGTGTTGGTGGACAATAGAATGAATTTGAATTGCTGAGATGTTGACTCTCATATTAAGCCAAACTTAATGTACTTAGTCACAAAGTGAGGCAAAGGAGACTAAAAGACTTTCCATTTCCATATCAGAGAAAAGATCAATAGAAGGAGGATGAGAAGCAGAAGGAGAAGTCAGAAAAGAAAGGGAGCATGGCTGGAATAGTCTGGGGAGGAAAGGCATGCCAGGGCCCTGGGAGTTCCCAGATGAAGCAGGTACAGGGCAATGACTCCTGAAGGTAAACTTCAGGGTTATGGTGTTTTCTCAGTCAAAATTCTTCCTGCACCCAACTAAATTTCACATCCAGCTCAATTATTGTAAAATCCTTGTCAAAACTGATTTCCTTTTCTCATGTCCACTCTGAATGAACCCTATCACCTGATCTTTAGTGTTGCACAGCCCCACAATTGCTTTCATCCCTCTTCTGTTCTGGGTTCCCTTTATGAAAGTTCAAATAGCTGGAGCACTGTGGCTCATGCCTGTAATCCCAACACTGGGAGACAGAGGTGAGATAATTGAGGCCAGGAGTTCAAAACCAACCTGGGCAACTTAACGAGACTCTGTCTCCACAAAAAAAAAAAAAAAAAAATTAAATTAGCCAGGTGTGGTGGTGGGCGCCTATAGTCCTAACTACTCAAGAGACTAAGACAGGAGGATCGGTTGAGCCCAGGAGTTCACGGTTACAGTGAGCAAGGATTGTGCCACTGCACTCCAGTCTGGGTGACAGAGAGAGATTCTGTCTCTTAAAAACAAAAAGTACAAATACGTTGAGGTGAGGTCACAGAGGGGGAGCAGTGCTAAGAGCTGTAAAGAAGATGTTCGTGTATTTGAAAATATTTTTGAAAACATTTTTCAATTACCTAGCTCAAAAATTTTGTAGCTCAGTTACAAAAATTGCAGTAACTGAGTAATGTTTGTCAATCTCACCAATCAGGCTTGTTCTCTAGCTGATGTTTGTAAGAAAATGAAGCTAAATATTAAGAAGAGTGCTCTTTGGAACTCTTCTAGGAATTTTTAGTAAAGACAGCCTGCATATCTCCATAGGATATTCCTCTAGAATCTTTCTCTGATACTGATTTCTCCTGACTTCCGACTATTAGACATCCACCCTCTTTCCATGTCTGTTCTGTATCATTCCTCCAGCCTGCCTATACACTCTGGCTCCAAAGATGCATGGGTCAGCTAAACTACTTGACCAAGGAATTGTATGTTTACAGGATTTAGTTAAAGGGCCTTCAGTGATCTGTACATCTGCATTATGTGTTGGTACTGCTGAACTAATGCCAACTTGTTTAATCTGTATGTTCTTGGAAATTTTGAAACAGCCTTTTGTTCTAATATTTTATGTGTCAAATTGTTCATCTATATGGCTAAAATGCTTTTTCATTTTTAATGAGCAAATTTTGCCTACTTAACAATCGAATACATTTTGTTTAAAATACTTATAATGTCTCTACAAAAAAGTGAAGGATGATTATTTCATTTTTTTTCAGGCTGCTTAGGAGACTGGTTGCTTGATTGGACAAATTTAGTGGAATAAGGCAAAAGCTACTTGGGGTACGATGCACCCTTTGTCCTAATTTCTGGCTCTCAAATCCATATAGGAAAACAAATTCTCACTGGCACTTTTATTAGTGTGCATGTGAATGATAAATTATTAAAATAGTTATTGAATATTCTCAGTTAGCCAGATCTATTCAGCTCTTCCAAAGCTAGGTAATAATATTTCTTCCACATTAAAGCCACATTTTAGAAGTGTCCTTGTCCTAATTTAATTCTGTGTGCCCTCTCTTCACAGACCTCTTTGAAACAAAGGCCCATGCTATAATAGTTCCATTTTCTCTGTCCTAACCAGCTATTTTTTTTGTGCTATTACTTTTGTCTGTTGTTTTTACAATTGTTTTCATTTTACTCTAACCCTATAAAAGTCTCTTTAGCAAAGGATTTTATTTTTTAGAGGATTCTCTAGGAATGCTTATGGCTGTGAATCTAAATAACCAGATTTTTAAAATGGTTGTTGTCATTGCTGTTTGGCCATCTTAAGAAAATATAGCAATTCAGTTACTAGAATTATCATAAGGCAAAAGGATAAATTGGATATTTTTACTTTAGTGCAGTACATGAAAATTGCCATAAAGAGCAACTCTGAAAATGAACTTAAATATGCAACTCTGTATCAATGCTGGAGATAGATTAGTGAGCACAAAAAGGAAAAAAATTTGCAATATTTACCCCTAAATCAAAATTCAATATTCAATTTAGTATCAATAGTTGAAATATTGAAATATTATCAAATATGAATACTGAATTACCTAAATCAAATATTTGTAAATATTGAATTACTGGGGGCAAGTTGGAAGGAAATCTGAGAATGGGAACATCTAGTCTTCACTTTGCTTCATGCTTCTGTCTAAACCTGTGGGGAGAGCAAAGTTCTTTCCAGGACGTAATACAGAGTTGTGGGGACAAAAGGGAGAGCCTGGCATTCAGAAGATCACCTGCCATTTAGGGGCACAATAACTGAATGGAAGTAAAACAATTATTTGCATTAGCACTCTGCTCTATATTTTTCACCTCCAAATGGGCTGATAATTGAATTGGGAATAAAATGTGGGAGGAATAAGACTCATTCTGGCCTTGTGTTTTCCAATACAGTTTGCTGGAAACATGCATTTTTCTGGGATGTTAGGATGAGTGCTCAGATTAATAAAGTGTGCTTTGTTTCTCCTTTGGCTACAAATTCTTGTCTGTGTATTCCACAGGCCATTACCTCAGAGGAATGGTGGGTAAAAGGCATCTAGAACCCTTGTTCCTACCCCAAAGCCCTTCAAATGTCTTGCTGCCAAGCTTTTGCTCGTCCTATCTTCTCTAGCTGGAATGCCTATCAGTCCTACCCATTCGTTAGAGTCCCCTTCGATCACGAACTCTTCCCAACTCTTCCTTCCGTAAAGTACATACAACCTTATAGAATTTTTTCTGGTGACATTTACAAAACATTTTATTACATGTATTTTTATAAACTTTACTTTTCAGAGCTGTTTTAGGTTCACAGAAAAATTGAGCAGAAAAATACAGAGGTCTAATATACCGAGGTCCCTACCCCAGCCTTCCCCACTATCAACATCCAGCACCAAAGCAGTATATTTGTTATAATCCATGAACTTTCACTGACACATCATCATCATTTAAAGTTCATAATTTACATTAGGATTCACTCTTGGTATGGTACATTCTATGAGTTTTTACAAATATATGATGATATGTATCCACCATCCTACTATCACAGAGAGTAGTTTCACGGCCCTAAAAATATGTATTTATTCATTGTCTTGCTGCTTTTACTAGAATATAAGATTCCTAAGGGGAGAGGCTGAATTTTATTGATCACAATATTCCCTGCAGTGAAATATACAGTAGCCTGTGCAAAGTTAAGAATAAAAAATGTTAATGAATTGGTTGTTTGCAGTGACCATAATATAGAAAGAAAAGGCTGAAACTTGTATGCAGCTTAGATCTGTTGAAATGCAACTGTGTTCCTTATAAAAACAACCCACTGATCCTTATCAACTGGAGAATAAAATTCTCTCACACCTCATTTAAAGCCTAGGTGGGACTCTCACAATGCCTGTGTCAGAGAATCAAGACTGTCCATTTCAAAATGAAACATTTTATATAACTTATCCATATTTTAAGGTTGTTGAAGCTAATCTATAAAAGGGAATAAAATTACTGGAAAAATCTTTTACTTTTTACTTTCCTCCCACCTCATGCCTGCCACAGATCTGACCTTGACATTTTATATTCCACAAAATGAAAAAGACTTGTTATACATCTTCTGTAATGGCCTAAGTGCACAAAGATTATGCTGAAAAGATGATACCATTATGGAGCTTACTTGAGATGTAGCACAGGGATTTTGTTCCATGCAGCTTATGTTTTTTCCAATTATTTGTGGAAATATTTAGATATTCTGTACCTTTCAAATGCAAGACTACTCTCTCAAATCTCTAAGGGATTTAAAGTAAATAAAGACAATCAGTTGCCTATTCTTAACGTAATAAAAATGTGTTTAATTTGGGGGTATTATATATGACAATTTAGTAAACAAAATCCCGTAGTTACAGCTAAATTAAACAAACTAAGCAAAAAGGGATAAATGTAAAGTCCTGAATAAAAGGCCAAAACTTAATGAAGAAAATATTACTTAACATTTGAAACATCACTTAACTTTTTAAAACCTAGATATTATAGTTGATAATATACCCAAATTGAATGAACATTATTAAGCATCTTATAAAATCACTAATATATTTAAGAAACACATTCATGGAAATGTAGTAACTGTGATGAGAGAGGAGGTAACTCTTCTGTATTAGGCCTGCACTGCCATAAAGAAATACCTGAGACTGGGTAACTTACAAGAAAAGAAGAATTGGCTCATGGTTCTGCAGGCTTTACAGGAAGCATGGTGCTGGCATCTGCTTCTGGAGAGGCCTCAGGGAGCTTCCAATCATAGAAGAAGGCAAAGGGGGAGCAGACACATCACTACTAATGTATAGTAGTGTACTATACATTATTTCCATAAAATAACTATTCTGGTAAAACAAAATATACAAGTCATATGTGAGTTGAATTGATATTTTCTGGCCTACCATCAAAATATTTCATAATCCTATGTGTCACCTTTCTCAGTGCCATAAATATTAATGCTCTTTATTATGTTTTATACACATATTGTATATATATGTACATATACAATGTATATATGTATATAAACTATATACTGTGTGTGTGTGTGTGTGTGTGTGTGTGTGTGTGTGTGTACTGTGAGAGTGCGATCACCCAGACACTTCCCAAAGCATTTTAGCTTTTATATAACAATAATTACATTTCCTTTGGCAGGCACAGTTTTTTTTTTTTTAATGTCTCTGAAAAATTTTAAGCAGCACGTGGACTCCCAGAACATCCACAGGCCTCACCCCTCCCCATTATCTTTCTGTGAGCAAGTCACACATTTATGTTTCCTGTTAGGCATCTGTAGGAGTTTCAGTTTGCTGATCCCTTATCTACAGCATATCACCTATCACTCTTTCCTGTAGCTTAGTTCTTCCGTGTCCCCCTTAGGATCTGCTACCCTCTAAGCATCTTAAGGATATGGGCTATGTCTTATTCATTTTTGTATTCTCCAAAGTGCTTTACACAAAGGAGGCAGTCAATACAAATTTTTTGAAATAATCTTCAAGAAAGTGGGAAGTGGCTTCAGCATATATAAAGAATATTCCCTGAACATTTAAAGAATCAAAAGTAAATGTCCTAGTTCATAAAAATAGTGTTTTAGAAATGTAGCATTCTTTGATAACAAAATAATTACTTCTTATTAAATTGCCAAAAATGCCAACAAAATAACTGGCATTCCTTAGTTTTATTTTTTCCTATAATCAAGATTTTTATTATTGGAGCCTAAGACTATTAGTTTTTCTTTAATTTTTATCAAAGTAACAAATGTACACACTTTAAAAAGTCAAATATTTCAATGACCATTCATTAAAAAAAATAGCCTCCCTGATATGTGTGAGTGTGTGTGTGTACATGTGTGTATGTGTTCATGTATTTTTACCTCAAGGTAATGATAAAAATTTGATAAGAGCATGAAATGGACTCTGAAGACTGGGTTCAGAAAAGGGATTTAAAAAAAGGAAAGCGCATTTGAAACCTCAATCTCTTCAAATTCCATAACAATAAGTCCAAAAATAAGTCCTAGACCATTTTGAAAATGTCATTAGTGCGTGTCAGATTATCTTTTGTCCCAGGCAAGAAGGCAAACAAATAGCGAACACCCATCATATGCATGTCAGGTCACGTATAACCCATGAAAAATCATTTGGGGATCAAAGAGTTATTGTCGAATAACACAGACATTTGAAGGCATTCTTATCCCTACAGACTTTTAGATTACAAGGACAGAACCAATCATAGGCAAAATCACCAAATAAAGCTCTCGAACAAAGACTTACAACTCCATTAGAACCAGGCATGGAAAGGAAGTTTTCTTAACTAATGCAACCTATTTTGCTAGCCATGAAAATTTGGCATATTATCTTATTGTCTTTTACATCATTCAAATTACTTTTAAAAGAATGAAGATAACAACACAATGTAAATGTAAGTGTAAATGTAAAGGGTGTAAAATATATGCCTTGGTAACGATCTTACCAAGGATATTTTAGAATATGCTTATATGTTACAAACATATATACAAGCAATGCTTCAAAAAGACGTTCTTAAACTTTGCCATGGATGATTTTCTTCTCATGACTTTACGTTTTAATGCCAAACTTTGTCTCTCATACATAAAAGAATCACCAAGACACTTAAAGAATCACCGTGATGGAGTTTGTGTCTATGACATCAGCATAGACAGATGAAATGTGACAATAATTTATCAAAGAGTTTGGCTGGGTACCACACACACACTTCTAGAGAGCAATTTCTGTTCCTCAAATTGCAGTATTTTAGCTGCTTATTTTATAACTTACCTTGATAGGCTATAAAATTAGAAAAAATTCAAATAAAACTCTCTGGGCACTGAGACTCATGCCCATAATTCCAGCACTTTGGGAGGCCCAGGCAGAAGAATCCTTTGAGGCCAGGAGAGTGAGATCATCCTGGGCACCTGCACAACACAGTGGGATCACATCTCTACAAAATATTAAAAAAAAAAATAGCCAGGTAACCAAGTGTGGTGGCACATGCCTGTAGTTCCAGCTACTAGGGCTAGGCTGAGATGGGAGGATTGATTGAGCTCAGGAGGTCAAGGCTGCAGTGAGCTGTGATTCCCCCACTGCACTCCAGTCTGGGTGGAGTGTGAGACTCTATCTCAAAAAAAAAAAAAAAAGAAAGAAAGAAAAAAAAACTTGCTATTTCTATTGTGTCAGATATCTGAAAGTTTATAAAATGGTAACACAGTATGGTTTCATACTTTCCTTTTTGTTCGTTTTTTGAGACAGAGTCTCACTCTGTCACTGAGGCTGGAGTGCAGTGGTACGATCTCAGCTCACTGCAACCTTCGCCTCCTGCGTTCAAGCAATTCTCCTGCCTCAGCCCCCCAACTAGCTGGAATTACAGGCACCCGCCACTATGCCTGGCTAATTTTTGTATTTTTAGTAGAGACCGGATTTCACCATGATGGGCAGGATGGTCCTGAACTCCCGACCTCAAGTGATCTGCCCACTTCGGCCTCTCAAAGTTCTAGGATTACAGGTGTGAGCCACCACGCTCGGCCTGTCCTTTTTATCTAGTATGTTTTCAGTTTAAAAGTTAAACACAGAAATAGCAAGCAGAGGATTTTAAAGTCACATTATTATTACACTTGATGATCGTAAAGGTGATAAAATCTTCTTAGAAAGACATGCAACATTCACATAAATATCATGCTAATGTGTTTTCTTTATTACCATTAACTAGGTATAAATTCTTAATGAGAAAATACTTCTAATGCTTTTTATTTGCAAGCCTATGGAATTTATTAACTTCATCATATAGAAAATCTCTAAGGTGAGAAAATATCTCTTGATTATGTGTAGTTTGTCAACTCAGTGCACTTTACCGAGTCTATCTTTCGAGAATATGCAGCCAAACTGTAGAGGGAAGTTTTAATCAATAGAGGTGATTATAGCTGCATTTTATTTTCAATTAGAAATAGAAGTCAAGGTCAGTGATGTCTCCTTAGACTCCTACCTTGTAAACGCTGATTTCAAGGCCAACTTTCATTCGTTCAGGAGCTGAGTAGCATTTCAGATTCTATCATGTGAGGAAGGCTGCACTATGACTCTGAATAGTTTGCCTGGATTTAGTTTTTGGATCTGCTTCTTGCTAAGGGGGTGTAACTTCTCCATGCCTCAGTTTCATTATCACAAATAGTTTAATAAAGAATATTATGTTGCATAATATTGTTTTGAGAATTAAATTTAATAATCCACATAAACTGATGGGATAACGTGCTATTCCAAAAGGTTTAGCTCCAACTTGAATAAATTACCTTGGGGCAATTTCTGAGTCCTAAATACTTTGTAGTATACCCTAATAATTTTCACACAGCTCTTCTCCACAAATAGAAAGAAGTGAAGGGCCTTGGTGAAATACATATTTGTTAGTTATATTTTTTAATTAATAAAGATATTTTAATGAATTTCAGAAACTTGGTACTTTTAAAAAATTTCGATCTTTGCACACAAATCACCACTATACTTTCTAGAACAGTGGAAGTTAGGACTTCAAGATTGTCACTTACCTCCTTGTGCCACATAGTGCAGAAATTCCTGACTCTGCCCCCCCACCCCTCTTATGGCCATGATTATCAATTACTCTGTTATTCTAGCAGGGGACAATTGAGAGGTGACAGCGTACTGGCAGCTCTCGGCGCCTCCTCTGCCTGGGCTCCCACTTTGGCGGCACTCGAGGAGCCCTTCAGCCCACCGCTGCACTGTGGGAGCCCCTTTCTGGGCTGGCCAAGGCCGGAGCCCACTCCCTCAGCTTGCAGGGAGGTGTGGAGGGAGAGGCGCGAGCGGGAACCGGGGCTGCGCGCGGCGCTTGCGGGCCAGCTGGAGTTCCGGGTGGGCGTGGGCTTGGCGGGCCCGCACTCGGAGCAGCCGGCCGGCCCTGCTGGCCCCGGGCCGTGAGGGACTTAGCACCCGGGCCAGCGGCTGCGGAGAGTGTACTGGGTCCCCCAGCAGTGCCATCCCACCGGCGCTGCGCTCGATTTCTCGCCGGGCCTTAGCTGCCTTCCCGCGGGGCAGGCCTCCGGACCGCAGCCAGCCATGCCTGAGCCTTCCCCCGCCTCCGCGGGTTCCTGTGCAGCCCGAACTTCCCCGAGGAGCGCCGCCCCCTGCTCCACGGCGCCCAATCCCATCGACCACCCAACGGCTGAGGAGTGTGAGCGCATGGCGCGGGACAGGCAGGCAGCTCCACCTGCAGTCCCGGTGCGGGATCCACTGGGTGAAGCCAGCTGGGCTCCATTCTGGTGGGGAAGTGGAGAATCTTTATGTCTAGCTCAGGGATTGTAAATACACCAATCGGCACTCTGTATCTAGCTCAAGGTTTGTAAACACACCTATCAGCACCCTGTGTTTAGCTCAGGGTTTGTGAGTGCACCAATCGACACTCTGTATCTAGCTGCTCCGGTGGGACCTTGGAGAACCTTTGTGTCCATATTCTGTATCTAACTAATCTGATGGGGATGTGGAGAACCTTTGTATTTAGTTCAAGGATTGTAAAGGCACCAATCAGTGCCCTGTCAAAACAGGCCACTGGGCTCTACCAATCAGCAGGATGTGGGTGGGTCCAGATAAGAGAATAAAAGCAGGCTACCCCAGCCAGCAGTGGTAAACCGCTCGGGTCCCTTTTCACACAGTGGAAGCTTTGTTGTTTTGCTCTTTGCAATAAATCTTGCTACTGCTCACTCTTTGGGTCCATACTGCTTTTATGAGCTGTAACACTCACCGCGAAGGTGTGCAGCTTCACTCCTGAAGCCAGCGAGACCACGAGCCCACCGGGAGGAACGAACAACTCCAGATGCACCGCCTTAAGAGCTGTAACACTCACCGCGAAGGTCTGCAGCTTCACTCCTGAGCCAGCGAAACTACGAACCCACCAGAAGGAAGAAACTCCAAACACCCGAACATCAGAAGGAACAAACTCCAGACTCGCCACCTTAAGAGCTGTAACACTCACCTGGAGGGTCTGCGGCTTCATTCTTGAAGTCAGTGAGACCAAGAACCCACCAATTCCGGACACACAATGACAGAATTGGGTGGGATATTTAAGGAGATCAACTGTCCACAAGCCAAGTATACTATACTAAAGTGAGAGGAAGATCCATCCAAAATTCATGCCACATACACTTTTAAATGCACTACATAATTTGGACCATATGTGAGTTTCTCTTTTGTATTCTTGTTTGATTCAGGGCAAAGCTACTGAATTAAGTTTCTAGTCCCTGAGGAGTTTAGAAGTTTGGCAAAGGTCAAAAGCTGAGAATTCCTGAAAATAAGACTGAGGAACCACAATGGAGAGCTGGGAGTTCACTGCAATGCATCTGAGGTGGGAGACAGGACATCTCATGAGGGCCTGGAGCACACCAGGCACTGGAGCTGGGGCTGTGGTAACAGCCGCTTCACCACCCTTCGTATGTTGAAGCTCTTGGGAATTCAGAACTAAACTCAAAATGTAAAAACAGTGCCTTAATGACTGGCAAGAAAACCTGGGGTGTGGTAGCTTGCTAATCTAGGAAAACTTGGAGTGTGGTAGTTTGCTAATCTAAGAAAACCTGGGGTGTGGTAGTTTGCTAATCTATGATGTGTTTCTTCCTTCATCTTGATATTCTTAAATTCTTACATACCACTGAAAAAGCAAAGTGAACGTGGCAGTGAGGAAGAGAAAGAAGAGTGCATGTCTCACATCTGAGAAAGGCGCACTTTAGTCTGGCTTGAAGATGCAAGAATGTAAGAATGCTGCCTTACAGAAAAAAAAATCTTCCTCTCTTCTATATATATATATAATTATACTTTAAGTTCTAGGGTACATGTGCACACCGTGCAGGTTTGTTACATATGTATACATGTGCCATGTTGGTGTGCCTCTCTTCTTCAGCATTTAAGAGTTGGGCACTTTTCTTACCTGTGATCCCGAAAGAAACCCCTCAAGACCTATAAAGTCTATGTTCCAAGATCATCAGAAGTAACCAGCATTATGGACCGGGCTTATGCAGGGAAAATCTACCCCCGAGTCTATCTGGTAATGTACACAGCTGCATAAAAATATTAGTTCTGTTTTTTAGAGCAGGGTTGGCAAACTTTATCCATAAACGAGCATAAAACAAAGAACAGACTGCTGGGTTTGGCCTGCTGGTTGTCACTTGCCAATCCCTGCCTTAGAACAAAGCAATTGCTTTCTCAGCAGATGGTTCATCGTTAAAGAGTTCCAGTTTTTTTAATAACTAAAATCTAATCCTTTTTCACAATGAAAGAAAATAATTTGAAAATTATGTTTTAAGAAATACAAATTAGTCATAATCACATAACTCATGAGTAACTACTTTAACAATTGATTTTCTTTACAGAATTGTATATATTCATATCTATCTATACAAATTAAAAATCTGTTATAAACATAATTTAAATCCTATTCTTTCCACTTATCTACTGCACAATGAATTCTTCAAAAAATCTCATATAATTTATGCATCTTTTGTTAAACCTTAATAATTATACCTCATAGATTTGTGTCTATTAATAATCTACCCTTCCACTAGATTGCCACCAGTTTAAGAGTAGAAGCTGTTTTACTCATTTTGGAAGTCTCATGCTTAGTGTTATGACTAGGGCACGGCAGGTACTCATGATTGAATACATTTGAAATTTTAACAGTATAATTATCTTTTACTCAATGTTATAGCTTACAGTCCTGGTCTTAGTTCAAAGAGAACATTCTCAAACTCATTACCTACTAATACCTAGCAACCGTTACACAGAAAGTAGGAATATCATGATTTCTGATTGTTAGTTCACTTTAGGGAGCTCATTACTTGAGAAAAATAGTATAGTTAGTCAATTCCCAAGGTTGTTTCAATCTTTCTTTTATTGCCTGAAAAGTAGCTTAACTTAAAATCACTTCCTTCAAATTGTTTCATGTCAAATACTTCTGGATGACATTTCAGTTTCTACCTAAAATTTAATATTTGGTACTAAAGAGGATGATATATAATTTACAAAATAAACATTTGAAGATAGCTTTTTAAAATATGTTGGACCATTTTCCCGTGATAAGCTAGGTTTACACAGGAATTCTATCCCATAAAGTAAACACTTAAGAGCTAAGATAAGTGTAAATTGTTTCAGCAAGGAAATATGTGCCCATGCTTATGTTTTATCTATGAGTACAAACTAGTTTGCATATTTTTGCTGAAAAAAAATCACTCGCTAGCCCTCCAGTAGTCAAAACAGAACTTTATCAGCTCAGTTAAAATGTTTGATTCACTGGTCATTTTATACTAATCTCAATATTATTTTTCAAAATAACCTCTATTTTGGAAAACCAGGTAAGAAGTCATCCTGATCATAGGAATTAAATTCTGTTTTTCTCAGCTCCTTTTTAATAAGATAAAAACTAAGTAAGTGGGAGGTGGAGTACAGGAGCTTCATCCTTGGAAACTTGTAAAGTTGGCATCTGTGTCGATTCACTGATTGTTTGCTTACACACTCTGTAACATAGAGAACTGTATTTCCCATGCCACCATGTGAATTGGCTTCTGTGTTGGTTATGTGAAATATTGAAGGTTGGGAAAAGAAGTCAGGGAAAGTCTTCTCACTATGGCATCTTTCTAGTGGCTGGGGAATCATCTGCAACTTCCGCTACTGCTAAGAATTCCCTTCTGCATCTCTTATGCCCCAGCTGTCAACAAGCAGCCCTCACTGTGATTCTAGCTACATACAACATCCTGGAGTTCTAGGCTCTGTTAATGACACATTTCTTTCTTTCTATTCTCTTGTGCCCTTTACTGTATATTCCAATTTTTTATCTTACTGTCCTTAGGTGTGGATATTTTCTTCTGATCATCAATCCAGTTCACTAATCCTTATTTTGGGTCATTTATCTCAAACCCACTTATTGAGTCTTAATTTTAGTTTTTATTCTATATTCCTAAATTTTCTATTTGATTCTATTTCATAGATCCCAGTTCCCAGGTGAAATTCTTCATCTTGTTCTCTAGCACATCAAACATATTATTTTATCATTTATTTTAGAGTCTAATTAAATTCAGCATCTAGATCACATGGGCCTATTTCTACTATAAGCATTTTCTTTCTGTTTTGATCCTTTGGTCTTGTCTTCTGTTATGACAAAGTTTTTGTGTGCATAAAAAATGTTGATTATGAATTCTTGTAAAGATAATTTGAAGTTCTTAGACTATTAGAACTCTCTATATTGAATTTCCATTTGCTCTAGCAGAAAGTTAATGAAGGAGCAGATAACCTTAAATTGATAGAGTATTGAACTAATTCAAACATATATTTCATTATTTTTGAATGGCTTTTTCTTTCTGGTTTGCCTTTACTCCCTCCAAGCTTTTTTTATATCTCACCCTATTTATCTCTTTAACTGTATCCTTTGTAATATCCCTTATAATATCCAGTAAACCTGAGTTCTGTGAGCCACTCTAGCAGTTTAAACCAAGGAGGTGGTTGTGGGAATCCTGATTTATAGCTGGTCAGTCAAAAGTTCAGGTAAAACAACCTGGGGCTTGCAGTTCGCATCGGGAGTTGGGGTCAGTCTTGTGGGACTGAGCCTAATACCTGTGGGATCTGATAGTAACACCAGGTAGACAGTATTGGAATTGGGAGACACCTAGCTGGTGTCTACTGCAGATTTTATTGCTTGCTTGTTGGTCGGGGGGAAAAGAAACACACATTTGGTCAGAGAAGTCTTCTGTGTTGATCATGAAATGAGAGTGGAGTTGTTTTTTTTTTTTCACTCAGAATTTTTTCCAAGACTCAGATGTAAATCTTCAATGGTCCCAAAAAATCCTAGGCTGTTGACCAGTATCCGTCCTCCTTGTGATTTCTAACCTGTAAGTTTTGTTTTTCCAGCATTATGTGACTTCTGAAAGCTCTGTTGAGCTTTTCAGCCTCCTTCTTACTACTTTCTGCTCAGCTTCTCAGCCACTCAGCTGTGGCTTATTAATTGGAAAATGCCTCAAGAGGCAGAAAGTCGGGCTTATTTACCGACACATCCCTCTTACCTGCAACATTGAACCCTCTGGCTCTTGCTGATTTCCTAATTTATCTAGTCCCTTCACATATGTTTCTAAAAGTGTTTTATCCAGATTTAGCAGTCATCCTTGGTTGTGGAAGGGTTGCCTTAATATGTTAGTCCACAAAAATAGCCAAAATCTAAAATAACTGAATAAAAATTTATAGCAAAAATAGAAAACAATAGAAACGTTTTTAATCTAAAAGAAAACCACAAAAGGAGAGATGTAAATCTAAAAATAGTTAAAATAAAAATAGCTAACTCTCTATGACCACCAAGGTCACTTCAGAGGAAAATAAAATGATTACAGATCTGGATCATGGAGAATACAAGATGAACTTGGAACATCTAGTTGTGCCAGAATAATAAAGAATAATAAAGTAATAAAGTGTTCAAAGAATGATGGGGATAGAATAAAAGAGTAAAGAAGCCAACTTGAATGTCTCCTTTTGGCCAAATCTGAGATAACTTGAGGATCAATTAAAATAATGGTAGAAATAGATTACAAAGTAAGAATCCATTTGTACGTGACAATATAAATAAAATACAAGTAAATAATTGGATAAGAAGGAAAAGCTCTTCTTTCAGTAGCGTGGCAACTCATAAATACAGAAAAAAATGGTAAGATTAGAAAATCACCAGTGGATACTAAAACTAGTGGATTAAAAACTTGGTGAGAAACAATATTTAAAGCAAAGTATTTCTTCACACAAAAATGTATTAATTTCATAGGGATCAGTAATCTTAGAGTGCAGAAACCTAGTGGATACCACCTTAAATAAAAGCTCTAAGTTAACATTGCTAATGTTAGGAAAAAAAACCTGATGTTTCTCCTGATGCTGAGAAGGATAGATATATTCTGTGGTATTCCTGTCAAAAATGCATAAGCTGATTCTAACAAGGAAATGTCAGACACATTCAAATTGAGGGACATTCCACAAAGTAACTGGCCTGTACTTTTCAAAAAATGTTAAGATCAAAAAAGTGAAAGGCTATACAAGAGTAAATGAGTCTAAAGACGCATAGCAACTATCTGCAATGCATGATTCTAGATGGCATTTTATACTGGGAGAAGAAACAGGTTTTAGAACAATTGACCAAATTTGGATATAAACTGTGGATTAGATAACAGCATTATGTTTATGTTCAATTTTCTGATTTTTGATAGTTAGGTGGGTTATGTAAAAGAATATCCTGGTTTTAAGAAATACACACTTAAGTGGTGTGTGTTTGTGTGTCCATGCACATATATACAGAGAGAGACAGAAGAAAGTAGATAGGGCAAAATATACCAAATTATTAAGCTAGGTAACAGGTATATGGGAGTTCCTTGTGTTATTTTGGAAGCTTTTCTATAAATTTGAAATTATATCAAAATTAAAAGCTTTCAACCAAACAAAAAACTAGATGACAATCTATTCCCCAAATTACAAAGTATAATTGGGTAGAGTCCAACCACTGAGAGCAGCAAGAAGCCAGTTATTTTTGTAAATATGTAAGAGGAAACAGGGGGAAAGAAAATAAAAACAACGTTCTGATAGAAAAATAGGCAACCAACAGTTCATAAGGGAAAAGCACACATGGCTCTTCAACATACAAAATTGTATTCAGTTGACCTCTTCAGATAAATTGAAATTATATAGAGATATTTCGAATATTTTACAATACAATATTTGCTAAGAATGTAGGAAAGTATGTATTCTCATATGTTGCTGGTTAGAGACAGGAAATGGTACAATCCTACCATAGATATTGTATGGTACAATATCTAGTAAAATCACACATGAATTTACTTTTTGACCCACCAATCCTATTTCTAGGAATCAATCACAATGATACACTACAAAAAATATTAAAAGATTTGAGGAGGGATCTGGCGAGATGGCCAAATAGGAACAGCTCTGGTCTGCAGCTCCCAGCAAGACCAACAGAGGATGTGGGTGGTTTCTGCAATTCCAACTGAGGTACCCTGTTCATCTCATTGGGACTGGTTAGGGAGTGGGTGCAGCCCATGGAGTGCAAGCAGAAGCAGGGTGGGGCGTTGCCTCACCCAGGAAATGCAAGGAGCAGGGAGGCTCCCTTTCCCAGCCAAGAGAAGCAATAAGGGACTGTGCTGTGAGGGATGGTGCTATCTGGCCCAGATACTATGCTTTTCCCACAATTAAAAAAACTAGAGAAGCAAGAGCAAAAAATTCAAAAGCTAGCAGAAGACAAGAAATAACTAAGATCAGAGCAGAACTGAAGGAGATAGAAACACAAAAAATCCTTCAAAAAATCAATGTATTCAGGAGCTGGTATTCTGAAGATTAACAAAATAGATAAGACTGCTAGCCTGACTAATAAGAAAAGAGAGAAGAATCAAATAGACACAATAAAAAATGATAAAGGGGATACCATCACTGATCCCATAGAAATACAAACTACCATCTCAGAATACTATAAACACATCTGTGCAAATAAACTAGAAAATCTAGAAGAAATGGATAAATTCATAGACACAAACACCCTCCAAGACTAAACCAGGAAGAAGTTGAATTCCTGAAGAGAACAATAACATGTTCTGAAATAGACACAGTGATTAATAGCTGACCAACTTAAAAAAAGCTCAGGGTCAGACAGATTCACAGCCAAATTCTACCAGAGGTACAAGTGAGATCTGGTACCGTTGCTTCTGAAACTATTTCCAACAATAGAAAAAGAAGGACTCCTCCCTAACTCATTTTATGAGGCCAGCTTCACCCTGGTCCAAAACCTGGCAGAGACACAACAAAAAAATAAAATTTCAGGCCAATATCCCTGATGAACATCAATGTGAAAATGCTCGATAAAATACTGGCAAACTGAATCCAGCAGCACATTAAAAAGCTTATCCACCACGATCAAGTCAGCTTCATTCCTGGGATGCAAGGCTGGTTCAACATATGCAAATCAATAAGTGTAATCCATCACATAAACATAACCAATGACAAAAACCACATGATTATCTCAATAGATGCAGAAAAGGCCTTTGATAAAATTCAACAGCGCTTCATGCTAAAAACTCTCAATAAACTAGGTATTGATGGAACATATCTCAAAAGAATAATAGCTATTTATGACAAGCTGATAGCCAATATCATACTGAATGGGCAAAAGCTGGAAGCATTTCCTTTGAAAACCAGCACAAGACAAGGATGCCCTGTCTCACCACTCCCATTCAACATAGTATTGAAAGTTCCGGCCGGGGCAATCAGGCAAAAGAAAGAAATAAAGCGTATTCAAATAGGAAGAGAGGAAGTCAAACTGTCTTGTTTGCAGATGACGTGATTGTATATTTAGAAAACCCCATCACCTCAGCCCCAAAACTCCTTAAGCTAATAAGCAGCTTCAGCAAAGTCTCAAGATACAAAATCAATGTGCAAAAATCACAAGCATTCCTATACACCAATAATAGACAAGCAGAGAGCAAAATCATGACTGAATTCCAATTCACAATTGCTACAAAGAAATAAAATACCTAGGAATACAACTTACAAGGAACATAAAGGACCTTTTCAAGGAGAACTACAAACCACTGCTCAAGGAAATGAGAGGACAGAAACAAATGGAAAGAAATTCCATGCTCATGAATAGGAATAATCAATATCATGAAAATGACCATACTGCCCAAAGTCATTTATAGATTCAATGCTATTCATACCAATCTACCATTGACTTTGTTTACAGAGCTAGAAAAAAGTACTTTAAATTTCATGTGGAATGAAAAAAGAGCCTGTATAGCCAAGACAATCCTAAGCATAGACAACAAAGCTGGAGGCATCACACTACCTGACTTCAAACTATACTATAAGGCTACCGTAACCAAAACAGTGTGGTACCAGTACCAAAACAGACATATAGACCAATGGAACAGAACAGAAGCCTCAGAAATAACACCACACATCTACAACCATCTGATCTTTGACAAACCTGACAAAAACAAGTAATAGGGAAAGGATTCCATGTTTAATTAACTCAAGATGGATTAAAGACTTAAATGTCAAACCTAAAACCATAAAAACCGTGGAAGAAAACCTAGGCAATACCATTCAGGACATAGGCATGGGCAAAGACTTCATGACTAAAACAACAAAAGCAATTGCAACAAAAGCCAACATTGACAAATGAGATCTAATTAAACTAAAGATCTTCTGTTCAGCAAAAGAAGCTATCATCAGCGTGAACAGGCAACCTACAGAATGGGAGAAAATTTTTGTAATCTATCTATCTGACAAAGGTCTAAAATCCAGAAATTACAAGGAACTTAAACAAATTTGCAAGGAAAAAACCAAACAATCCCATCAAAAAGTGGGTGAAGGATGTGAACAGACACTTCTCAAAAGAAGACATTTATGTGGCCAACACACCTATGAAAAAAAGCTCATCATCACTGATCATTAGAGAAATGCAAATCAAAACCACATTGAGATAACATCTCACACCATTTAGAATGACGATCATTAAAAAGTCAGGAAACAACAGATGTTGGAGAGGATGTGGAGAAATAGGAACACTTTTACGGTGTTGGTGGGAGTGTATATTAGTTCAACCATTGTGGTGGACAGTGTGGTGATTCCTTAAGGATCTAGAACCAGAAATACCATTTGACCCAGCAATCCCATTACTGGGTATATATCCAAAAGATTATAAATCATTCCAGTATAAAGACACATGCACATGTATGCTTATTGCAGCACTATTTACAATAGCAAAGACTTGGAACCAACCCAAATGCCCATCAATGATAGACTGGATAAAGAAAATATGGCACATATACACCATGGAATACTATGCAGCCATTAAAAAAGAATGATTTCACGTCCTTTGCAGGGACATGGATGAAGCTGGAAGCCATCATCCTCAGCAAACTGACTCAGGAAGAGAAAACCAAACACCTCATGTTCTCACTCATAAGTGGGAGTTGAACAACAAGGACACAGGGAGGGGAACATTACACACTGGGGCCTGTTGGGGGGTGGGGGGAACGGGGAGGGAGAGCATTAGGACAAATACCTGAGGCATGTGGGACTTAAAACCTAGATGATGGGTTGATAGGTGCAGCAAACCAGCATGGCACATGTATACCTATGTAACAGACCTGCATGTTCAGCACATGTATCCCAGAACTTAAAGTTAAATTTTAAAAAAATTAATAGGAAAACAAAAGAAATGCAAATTGAAATAGTACAACCACTTTTGAAAGCAGTCTGGCATTATCTAATAAATTTGGCAATGTGTTACTGTAAAAAAAAAAAAAAAGAAAAATTTCCTCCAGCACGACATTGGCTAATGTAGTAATTTTTCAGAATAATTTTACAAATGATAAAGGTCTTTTAAAAATACAGTCAGAAGAATTAAGCAGGAAAAATAAAGATGTGTTAACATGGCCAGTAAGTGCCAAATATCCATCAAAAAGAAACAGTTGAATAAATTAGCATCCATTCACACAAACAATGGAGCATTACCAACCTTTAAAATAAAGAAGGTAGATCTCCATGTACTTTATACTATATTGTAGGTAACATATTTTTAGGTGAAAAAATATACAATTTGAAGGAAAGTATGTATTGTATACTACTATTTACCTGAGTGAAGGAAATAATATATTAACATATTTATTTACAGTAAAAAGGGGAAAGAGGGGTGAGCAAAAAGTAAAGGAAAAAATGATTGGGTGTAATGGGGCAGAGGCATGAGGGAGGAGAAAACAGCAGACTAAGAATATACAGTTGACCTTCTGTAACCATGGGTTCCACATCTGTGAACTCAACCAACCATCAATCAAAAATATTAGGAAAAAAAATTGCACCTGTACTGAATTTATACACACTTTTCTCATCATTATTTCCTAAACATTACAGTATAATAACTATTTACATAAGCACTTACTTATATTAGGTATCATACATAATCTAGAAATGACTTAAAGCCTGTGGCAGGACGTGCATAAGTTATATGCAAAGAGTTTACCATTTTATATCAGGCACTTGAGCATCCTCAGAGTGTCATCAAGAGGTCCTGAAAACAATCCCCCAGGGATAGCAAGAAATGATTATACCTTCTTTTGTATATTTGATAACATTAACTGTTACTAAAAATGTGTGTGTGTGTGTGCGTGCATGTGTGTGTCAGAGAGAGAGAAGGAGAGAGAAGTTATGTAGTCTAATAAGACTTAATTAAATTATCATACAGAGGGTTATAGAAGAATTTTCAAAGGGTTGTTCATAGTAGATTCCTGCAGTGGGGAGTAAGGTTAGTCTTGCAGAAGAAGATGAGGAGGAAGGCAGTAGAAAAAGAGAATGTAAGAAAAAAAAAACTGCCTTAAATTCAGTGGCCATTGGAAACACATAATAAAATAAAGCAAAGCAAACAGATAATATATATGCCAGAGTCCTATTTATTAAAATTATATTTATATTCATAAACAGATATAAAAAAGAAATCAATGAAATATCAATGGTGATTTTTAAGGATAGTAGGATTTTAGATCATATATACTTTACTATTTATATGTGTGTTATTCATTTTTCCTAACAATCACATTGTACTATTTATAAATCTAGAAAAATACAATAAAGTGATTTTCATTCTAGGCAAAAAGAACTACTACACACTAATAAAGAATAACTAAAAGAGCAACATTCCAAAAGGAAAATGTGTCAGGGATGTGAACAGTCATTTAACAGATAAAATACAAAGAGTATTTTATTTATTTATTTATTTACTTATTTATTTATTCAAAGAGTATACAATTGGAAACATATTTAACTGTTTGATAATCAAGGAAATGCAAAATAAGGCAACAGATTGAACACAGAGCAGGGGAGAAAGGGAGTCAAGAATTATTCCAAGGATATTGGCATGAGAAACTGGAAGAATAACTGGTTATTGGTGACAAGAAGAACACTTTGAGGAGGAAGATAAGGAGTTTGGTTTTAAGTTAAGATGTTTATGAAATATCCAAGTGGAGAAGTTAACCTGTCAGTTGGATGTATGAGCCTGGAGTCTAGGAAAGAGTGTTTCCCACAAAGAAATAATATTTAAAGCCATGAACTTAGATGAAATCACCAGGAAGTGATTTAATGTATAAAATAGTTTCAAGGACTGAATCCTAGGGCGCTTCAGAGTCAGAATGTGGGGAAAAGTGGAGGAACTAGTGTAAAGAAATGTGTCGGATTAAAAGGAAAATCAGGAGATTGTGGATTCCTGAAAGAAAAACATTTCAGGAGAGAAATCATCTAAGTCAGTAGGACAATAACTGATAATTTATCATTGGATTTAGCAATATGAAGGTCAATTTTTAAAAAAGGACAATTTCAGGGAAGTAGTAGGGACGAAATCTATTTAGATGGGTTCAGGGAGTCAGACAGAATGGAAGGAGAGGACCTGAGACAGTGAGGTTAGACAGCTCTGTGAGGAGTTTGGATGCAATGGGATGTTATGAAATGAAATAAATCAAGGGGGTTCTGTGTCAAGAGAAAGATTTTTTTCTACAATGAGAAATTATTGTCTATAGGCCAATGAAAATTATAAGTCACATGTTGTGACTTGTAATTAATTATTAAGAAAATTAATGATTAAGAAAATAATGGAGAAATTCCTGGAGGGAGGTGAGGGAAGATGCAATCTAATGTCTAAGTGAAAACATCAGCCTTAGGAGCGCAGGCTGCTCACACAGAGTATATGGACACAATTTCAAATCAGTGAGCAAATATAGGGTGGTCAGAGCTACTGAGATTTTTCTTATTGCTTCAATTTCTTCAGTAAAATTAGCGAGAGTGCATATGGGGTAGGAAATATTAGAAGTTTTAGTAAGAAAGGAATGAAATATCCAGATAAAAACGATGAATAATGTAATACCCAAACCATTTGAGTTGACATGTTCCAGGCTGTGAGCCAATATTGAGGTCATGATATTTATTTTTTTAACCAGTCAAATGATTTCTTATTTATAGTTCCATACTGAAGGATCAACTGGATTCCAAATACATGGGCTCCAGAAAACACTTTCACACCCTTTAGCTGCACATTTCACCATGAGGCAGAAGACGACTCAATATTAAGTCACTAATTAAGTAACTTTCTATATGCATGGCTATCTTCAAAGTTTCAAAATCACATTAAGTAAATTAGTATATGAATAAGCTAAATGCTTAGGCATTATAAATGACACTATAACTTTCTCTATCCATTTTAATAACAAATGTATTGATTGTTTATCATTTACTGACAGATTTCCTGTAATTTGTACCAGGGTGTCACAGACAAAACATGTAGGGCTAGTCTGATTTTCAAGAATAAACCTTTTCTATTGCAGATATTGACTCTCCAGACCATACATGGAGCGACTCACATCCTCATATTGTTGAAATCAAAGGCTGGCATAGTCTTTATTTCTATATGCAAGCTTGGTCATACAAAAGGATCTTTGTCCTGACAGATATTTTATCCTGCAGAAGTGCTTCATTTTGGTTATTGTTTGGATTTGGTTTACAATTTTTCCTTCAAAGTTTTTCTTCAGTAAGCCTACTGAATATGCTAATGTGATTACCTCATGTGAACACTTCAACCTGACTTGATACTTTAGGTCTGTAGTATCCAACATGGTAGCCAACAAGTTGCTATAGAACACTTAGAATGTTCCTAGTGCAACTAAGGAACTGAATTTTCAATTTTCCTTAATTGTAGTTAATTTAAATTTAAAAACAAATTATTTAAAACTATTTTTTCACTTAAAATACTTCACTGTTTTTGCAGAAGTACAGCTCATATTAACCATTGAAAATTCAGCATATGAAGGGAGATGAGCTCTAGGGAAGAAAAAAGATTGAGATGGGCTGTAAGTGTAAAACACTTGCTGGATTTGAAGACTTAGTATGAAATAAAGAATAAAAAAATCAGCCTGATAATTTGTATATTGACTATTGAAATGCTAATCCCTTGAATAAAATGGTTTCAGTAAGTCACATAATAATAAAATATTAAAAATATTTTATTAGTTATAAAGTACTGTAAGATAAAATTAAAACATAAATAAGTATATCTTGCTTTTTAAATGTAGCTAGTAGAAAATGCTAAATTACTTATTGTGGGTCATACATATTTTTCTGGACAGCACTGCTTTAGTTTATTAAGTATAAAGTTGGTTCCAGATGAATAGAAAGGCTCACAGGTTATTACTGTTGTGAGACATCTTTCCCTCTGGTGAGGCAAAGAGCATTACTTTAACCTTTCCAATCATTTTCTCTCTGTGGCTTCAGAATTAACAAGAAGAAGTTACATGATGAAGACTATCTTTCTAAGAGAATTGTCTAACGACATAAAGAGTATCAGAGAAAAGAGCAGGTATCCATTCTAGGGTAGGTTCAAAAAGGGCCTGAATCAGTACTTGTTGATATAGAAAATACCAGAAGGCGTTGGAGAAATAAGTATTAATTTACTCAATGTTTTCCAATAAATTTCTTAGTTTCAAAGTCAGGAATAAAACATATCTATGAGGCTACCTTATAAGAGAAGTTTTTGTAACATGTGCATTCCAAGTCAAGCAGTTAAAAGACATATTGGCCCTTGTCATTTTACTTTTTTTTCTTTTTAATCACTACCTTTTCTTTTTCTTTTCTCTTTCCTTGTTTTTCTTATTTCATTTTCCAAGGAAACAGCAGAATAGCATGACCAGTCTGGGCAAATTTATCAGAATGGAGAAGTTTTATTTGGCATCTTCTTTCTTAGTGATATTCTTCCTCCTTTTGGCAATACGTTTAATGCCTAGAGCTACCCAAGGTCTCCATTTAAAACTCCAGCGAAAGACTACCTTTTTGAAAGAGAATAATAAATCAACATGTGCTAATATATTTTCTGTCCATTTATTAATATTTCATGGGCATAATGCCTTATCCCAATACAATAAAATTCTCAGGGCCCATGACAGGCAATTGGAGAATGTATTTTGGGAATGTCAGAACTTTTGTACCAAACTCAGATTTTACCATTTTGACAGCTGTCTATTCCACCTACTGGGCCTATTAAGGCTCTGTTGGTTGGTTTTATTAAAACCAATTTAACTTATTGAATTTTTTCCTGTTTATCAAAGAAAAATATATTCCAAAGCTCTGATAGAATGCAGTACTTTCTACACAGAGGTAATAATTCATTTTCAAAATTCTCATAGTCTCACAATTTCTTTAAAAAATACAGTGTGTGGATGCAGCACTGCTGCATACTCTTCACTTAGCCAGTGTAAAAGTTTCTTGCAAATATTTGATGGGAGTCATATTTGAGTTAGCATAACTTTATTTATTCCCTGGTGCGTGGGATTTTATTGCTTGGGTCCATGTGGGATAGTCCTCAGAGTGATAGATGACTCACTGAAACAGCTGTGACCTGACAGAGTTCTTGCTGAAAATGCATTTTCTGTATAAACTTGATTTTTTAAAAAACAATATCCATGATGTCATTGCAGTCTTCAAGTTCAACTCTCCCTGGGGATGGAGTAACACTCTTTTATAGGTGGTAATGGAACAGATGGGCTCATGTGGACAGCATGAAGAGGAGGGAAGAAAGATGGCAATGTATAAGCATTTGTGGAGCTAAACAGCACACAAAGTGGCCTATTTATTACTAAAGCTATGATGGACCCATTATGTGATGTCTTGAAATTCCTAGAAATGCCCCACTGGAGCTGGTAATCAACAGAGGATGCTGAGCAAGGCTGATCCTAGGCAAAACTGCAGGATGCCACATCAGCTTCACCTGACGAGACTCCTATAGTGCTTTTCTGCCCCATGGCACACTCCCCTGTTGTCTTTTTTCATCCTTTCTAGAAGGATCCTAACAACATCCTCAGCTTATCTGTTTTTCAGTTTCTTCATCTTAACAATTAATAAACAATAGTTCATCTCTCGGCATAGTTTGTTTTTCTGTAGAGATGGGGTCTCACTATGTTGCCCAGGCTGGTCTTGAACTCCTACCGTCAAACATTTTTTTTCACCATGGCCTCCCAAAGTGCTGGGAGTACAGGCATGAGCCACTATGCCTGGCCTTAAGTATTAAGTAAGTTAATATGTGTAACTTGTAGAATGGTGACTGTCTTATATATGTATTGAGAACATGTCCTTTGTATTACTTGAGAAACATCCAGTCAGAATTGTTTGACATATAGCCTAAACCCTTGGATCTGCTCTTTGAACAAAACTAGATGGTTCAGTTATCTTTCTTTCCCATGCCCTCATCAAAACTTATTGGTCTTGTGTAGCATTTCATTGGAGGCTTTTTTATTCTATTCCAGATTTTTAAAAGCTATAAGCTAGCAGCTAATTGCTGGATTTGAGGTATACATGAGTTATTTGGGGCCTGCACAGTTAAAAGTGTTTTAATTTAAATGCCATTATTTAGAAATTCATCTATTTCTTATAAAATTATGATTTCTGATTTTCCTTGGAAAAAATTTTTAAAAATCTGGCAACCATGGGCAGTGGCCCCACGTGGGAACACACAGCTAGAACTAAATAGTAGTATTCCCTTTTTGATGCTGCACAGATCCTCCAATTCTCCAATCTCCACTACTCCTTATTTTTCCCTTCAGTCCAGCCGAATTCACTTTTCATTCTGGGCTCTGTGGATTTCTATGCTTGTGACCCAGGTGTCACAGTTGTCTTTCATGGACAGGTTATTTGTGTCTTCATGAAAACGCTCTAAATAAAAAAAAAAAAAAGGAAATTTAGTCCAGATGTGGAAGGATGCTGTGCCATTTTTGTATAGGAAGACATTTAATTTTAATTCCCTGAACATGTTCTGCTCTTGATGCTTAATCTGTTAACTCACTTGACTTTTATTTAGTCATGGCAAGGTGTTAGATTTTATTCTAAGCACAACAGGAAGTCACTGAGGGATTTTAACTAGAGGAGGGTTTAGTGCAATTTACATATTTAGGCCTTACTATGGTTGCTGTGCAGAGGTTGGAAAGGGTGAAATCAAAGAAATGGGAAGCCAGTTAGGCAGTTTCTGAAGGTGTTAACAAGGAGAGGAGGATGGCAATTTGGACCAGGTCATAGGAGTGATTTAAAAAAAAAATAAAGAGGAAGGAAGAATGGGGAAGAGGGGAGAAGAGGGGAGGAGGAGGAGGAGGAGGGGAAGGGGGGAGGGAGAGGGTAATCAATGCACTTCTAATAAAATGTTTCCTGTGGAAAATAAGAGCATAGTCTGGCCCTGGCGCAGCACCTGGCAACTTTTTCCGTTTGCTTGTTCCATCAATATTTTCCTTTTCTTTCAAATGCCAAGGTTTTTCCACCCTCTGGACCTTTGCATTTGCTGTGACACTCATTCTAACATGTCACCTGGATGTCTGTCATTCTTATTCTAGCATGGCTCATTGCTAGTTTTTATCTCATCACAACATTAAATCCTATTGTTTATTGCCATTTAATATTTCTTGTATATTTATGTTGTTGATTGCTTGTACTTGATTTGTTTGTTTCCCCTGATCAAAAATGTATAAGGTCAAAGACCAGTTTTGTTTTTTTTTTCAGCCATATCCTGGGTCCCTAGTATGGTATCTAGTCCACTCACTTGTTTAATAATATTTGTTGTATGAATGAGATTTTGTAGACATTTATTAAAATGTGAATGTGAGATTCACAACATCATCAAAGGTGATTCTAGTTTTTGGTGGATAACTGGGTGGCTGGTGGCAACATATACATTGGGATTGTGGGGTCTGGGAGATCAACTCTCTTGTGTGGAGTTACAGGCAGAATTAGAGTTCTGTTTTGGATGTTGTATAAATTTTCTAGGGCTGCCATTACAAATACAACAGAAATGTATTTTAAGTGGGTAACTTAAAACCACAGAAATGTATTTTCTCTCGTTCTGGAGATGAGAAGTCTGAAATCAAGTTGATGGCAGGGTTGTTTAAGTGGCAGAGAAAAGAGATATGTTCTCTAGAGAGAGGACTATGGGTTGGAAAAGCCGTCTTGTAAATCCTACAAACTTTGGTGGCAACTAATATCAGACCTTAAAAATAAAAGGTGAGAGGCATAGAAGACGGACATGGGAGCAAACAGACAGGCTGAGTAAACCAGAGGAAATGTAAAACGGGAGAGATGGGCCTAGATGTGTGATCTAAGCACAAGAAAAGAACAAAATTCATTCATTCAGTCATGGCTTTCCAGAGTCTGTCTTGTTATTTCACAGCGAAGCAAAGGGAATCCAGTATGGCCCAGCTTCCTTGGGATTAGCACATTGACTTTTCAAGATTCCAATATAGCAGCAGCTGACATTTCTACAGCTGTTGGTCCTCTTAGAAAGGTCTTGCTGGTGTGGTAAACCATGGGTTCCATATTCCCACATCACACATGAAAAGGAACTTAGATGTTGAGAATATGTTTGCTAAGGCAGTGGGAAGTTTAACAATAATATGTCGACTGCACTCTTAACTTTTCTCAGCAGGAAGACCTTATGTTCAACTGAATCAGAACAATTATACTATTTCAGAGTGTTCACCACTGTCTCGTAGAACAGGAAGGCAATCTTAGAAATAGAGTACTGACAGTCACAAAGCCAAATGTTAATGCTAATGTCTAAATATTTTTTAGAATTTGGTAAGATCGGCATTTCAATACAATGCTGGAGGTATTTGGCAAACCAAGATGTGCACTCTCCATTCTGAACTCAGCCCACATACATTGGTCCACATCTGATATTGGGAGAAAGGCAACTGCAAATCAAGTTAGGGCATTCTCAGCGTCCTTTATCAAAACAACCCAGCAAATAAACTTGCAAAAGTTAAAAAAAAAAAAAACTAAGCTATACATGAGTAAGTTGCTCTAGTGGCTCTACCTGCCTTTTTCCTTTGAAATGTATCTGAACTAGGATACCCTCAGTAGTCTGGGCAAGTGAGGAGCCCACCAGATTAGAGGCATCCATCCATCCATTTACTCATTCATTCATGTGTTTATTTTTGATTGTTTGCTTTTAAATTTTAGGTTGGAAGAGAAGGCACTTCTGTACTCAAGGACCAATTTCATTACTCTAATATCATATAAGGGAAGGGTTGCATCCTGGTTGCCTACTTCTACTTTCCATTTCTTAACTGTGTTATCAGGCTTACTAACAGTTTTAGTCTAGCAGACATAGATATGACTTATCACATCTTCAACTTACATAATATATTTTGAGAACCCAACCCCTCATCCCATCATTACAACAAATTGCTTTTGTATATTAAAATTGGACTTTCATACATCATCTAATAAACAAACATTTGCACTATCCTTTGGTAGTATTTATCTGTAAAGAGTGCAATAATGATTAAGAGAAGACTTCTTAGAGAATAATTTTGCAAATTACCTAACTCTCAGGGCTCAGATTCAACAAATGAAACATGGAGAAAATAATAGTACCCTTAATAGGACTGCAATGGTAATTAATTCAAGTAGTGTAGGAAGAGAAATTAATCTGGATCTGGCACATCACAATTACAATTACTAAAATTAGTGCCTCCACCTACCTAGTTGTGTGCTTTATTGCAAAGAGAAATTTAGAATTTTGATTTCTTAAAGAATTTGTACTATGGGTCTCAAAACTATTATATTTTGTCTCATATTTTTAAAATAATGTAATATAGAAAAATTAGAGTTCTTCTAGACTTCAGTCCACATGACATATTCACTTGTAAAGAAACAATATAATTAAAGAAAGTATACTATTTTTAAAGATTTTGACTAAAAGGTGAGCTGTAATAAGGAGTGAGAATCAGACTCAAAATATTTAAGTGATACACAATCCAGTTACAATGAGTACCCCTAATATTTAGATTGTTTTCATCCAATATGTTTTTTTCATAAAATGGAACCAGAGCTCCTTGGAGAAATGACTGATTCTAGATTGAGGGCAAGAAATGTGCAAACTGAGGCTGGAATATCTTCATATGATGCCACAAAGCAAAAGCAAATAAGCTATCAGACTACCAGGTTTGTGTCAAAGGACTCAAGAACCAAATTTAAGAGGCTTTTATTGGCCAAGGATGGGTTACTTTGAAATTCAGTAAGAATACTAATTTGCAATGTACTGACATATTTCTAACGTAGTTAAAACTATAGATTTAAAATGACACTAAAAATAAAAATTAAATTAAAATTCATTGATTAAATTTGGAAGACTGGAGAAAATCATGTAAATTACAAAGGAAAATAAAGCAAAAAAATCAATGCTTAGTTTTCCTATATGAATTGTAAGTATAAACAAATAACTGATGCAAGTTTCTTTTTATAAAAATCTTCCAGCTAAGACAGGAAAGCAGAAACAATACAATTACAAGATCATAATTGTTTAACCTCTAGTGAGTTAAATAAGCTAGGTAATGATCCCAATGGCTGCTGGCAACACATACACACACACACACACACACACACACACACACACACACCAGACATTATGTGTCTTCTGAAAGAATTGTAGAATCCCCAAAATGTCAAACTTTAGTCTGACCAATTCTCTACATCTAACCACCATTTTACAGTATATACAGGGAGCAGAGTAACATGTCAAAAAATATCTCAGGGACTCTATCAGCAAAAGCCAGCATGTACAGAAAAAAAATCTAAAGAAAAATGAACTGGATTCTTCAACAAATAAATTTCAACTAATTGAAATAAGCCAGATACAGAAAGAAAAATATTGTGTGATCTAACTTGTATGTGGAATAAAAACAGGCTAAAATACACAGAGAATGAAACAGTGGTTAATGTGGGTGGGAGTGGGGAAAGGGGGAGGTGTAGGTCAAAGGATACAAAGTAGCAGACGTGTAGATGAGGTCTAGAGAGCTAGCGTACAATATGAGAACTAAAGTGAATAAAATTGTATTCTATTACAGATTTTTGTTAAATGAGTAGATATTCAGCTGCTCTTGTCACACACACACACACACACCCCCCACACACACCAATTAGCAATGTGAGATGGTAGACATGTTAATCTGCTTCAGTTTAGTAACCATTTTATTATCTATGTGTATCCCATAACATCATGTTGTAACCCTCAAATGTACACAATTATAATTTTTTTTTTAATTTTCAAGAGAAAAAAGGTGTGGGAGAAGTTACATGTACAAAGAGATTTAAAAGACGTATCAAGCTATTAAAAGAGATGGGTTTTTAATAGCTTGAATGTAAAGTAAGAAAGCTAGAATGAAGGCCGGGTGCGGTGGCTCCTGCCTGTAATCCCAGCACTTTGGGAGGCCGAGGCAGGCCTGAGGTCGGGAGTTCGAGACCAACCTGACCAACATGGAGAAACCCTGTCTCTACTAAAAATACAAAATTAGCCGGGTGTGGTGGCACATGCCTGTAATCCCAGCTAATAGGGAGGGTGAGGCAGGAGAATCGCTTGAATCTGGGAAGCGGAGGCTGCGGTGAGCCGAGATCGTGCCATTACACTCCAGCCTGGGCAACAAGAACGAAACTCCATTTCAAAAAAAAAAAAAGCTAGAATCTAAAGTAAAAAAATATTTCAGAAAATGAATGCTCATATTTAGTGCTTAATCTACTTAGTGTTTTTGTAACTATACGTATTTCTTAATTCTTAGGAGTAAAAAATTAAGCATTCACAAAAACAATTAGGAATAGTTTCTTTCTTTAATTATCTTGGAACAGAATTCCAATCACAACATATAAATCTACTGCTTGATTTTTATGTGTTTCACTTTTATTAATATATCCATTTTCAGAAATATATCATGTTAAATGTGACTATCATTCATATATCGAGAGCTAAATAACGTTTACTCTTTGACTCAATTTCTTTCCAGGAAGCTGTTTAAAGAAGGTAAATATTTCTATGAGAATGAATATAATATTTTATTAGTGTTATTAATAATACAATGTTTAAGATAACCTAGATTTCAAGTGCAACAAAACAAATTATAGCTCTTTGTGGGGGTGTGTTTTGTAGTGTTGGGGAAATCTAATCCAAAACAAAACCTTCTCCCAACCCAGAAATTCTCTCTACAAAGGTAGTAGAAAGGAAAACAACACTTTTATTACTGAATTAAACCAGAACACGGTGCCCATCACAGGCAATCTGCTAAGAGATTACAAAAACAGAAAGAAACCTTACCCTTTTACAAGCCAAGCAGATACAACCCATTACACACGTTTTTAAAATCAACAGTAACTTGCTCTCAAATAAGAAGCTTTAACAGTGCCACACATAGTTTATCCTAAATTTAGCTGGTAATTTGGGGTGATCATCTGTGTTATCCAACTGGTTTTATCCAGAAGAAAAATAAACATCTCATATCTTTATGAAAGGAGGTTGCTTGGAGCAAGGTGCTCACCAACATTGGACTCCTACCTTTTCCTAGAAACTGGGAGATGGCACTAATATCTTTCTTAATGTTTATGCTTCAAAGAGATAGAGCCCAGGTCCTTGAGAAAGATATTCCTGGGTCATAAAACAAAAAGCCTACCTTGTTTTTAAAAGGATTTATATACATTTCAAAGAGTGGAGAAAGATTTACAATCACAAGTTTTTCAAGTAAATGCTCTAAGAGAAAAGAGAAGAGGAAAGTCTATTTCCTTATTTTCAACATGTATAATAACTAAGCCTATTATCTCTAATTTTTATATGTTCTTAGAATAGCTATGAAAGTTTTTTAATAGTATGGTAGCAGGTTTGCCATAAATGTTAAGAAAAAAATTTTGTTAAATTATATATGGCTTATATGCCAAATTTGCAAAACAAAACAATAACATATATGTATATTAAAATAATTTGACCTAATGTTATCTGTATTTGGAGAGTTATCTTTTATTTAGTTAATAATTTTTTATCTAATTAAAGTAATAGAAAATGATTTTATAACATTGAAGATACAACATAAAAATAGTATTACCTTAGATAATTTTATTTTCCTCTATTTTCTATTTTACCAGCTTCTTCATTACCTGCAGGTATTAAATTTATAATAATCAAACTGAAAAAAATACATTCTGTTCATACCAAAAAATAATTTCACTTTTGATACTTGAAAAATCAGACTTGAATACTAAATCAGAGGCATAGCCAATAATATAAATTGTTTGTATTTCTTACTTTATTAATTTTGACATAGGAGTTAAAAAGAAATTATTTAGTGAAGGTAAAGGAAGTCCTTGGTAAGGTTTCCCTTTTAATGAAAAGCAACCCCCAAATTATTTCTTTTCTAACAAAGAGCAGCCTGTAAAATTGAGCTGCAGACATAGAAAAGCAAGCTGGAAGCTTGCACGGGTGAATGCTGGCAGCTGTTCCAATAGGAAAAGGCTACCTGGGGGCTAGGCATGTCCAACATGGCAGCTCCATCTTCTTTTTCCCTTGCTAACCATGTGTGCAGTAGGGAGCAGACCAGCCAAGTAGAAAATCATTTGCAGAACCAGAAGATTACGCTGGTGTAGTCAGCTTCTTTGCCAGCTAAGTAACCATCACAACAGGTCCTTGGGCCCTATGTAAATCAGACACCACCTCCTCAAGCCTATCTATAAAACCTTGTGTACTCCGCTGCAGGCCAGAAGTCCCACTCAGGCACCCCTCTCTCTCACAGGAGAGAGAGCTATTCTCCTTTCTCCTTCTTTTACCTATTAAATATCTACTTCTAAACCCACTTTTTGTGTGTCCGCGTACTCGATTTCTTTGGCATGAGACTATGAACCTCAGATATGTATCCCAGACAACAACGCCACTTAAATTATATACAAAATATAGAAAACCCATTATTTTTCTTGACTTTTTTAAAATTCAAAAACATGCTAATAACTTTTTGAAAAAATAAAAGCTTTGGGGTGACAAAATTGTTCAGGAACTAAAGAGTGGTGATGGTCACACAACACTGCAAAGGTACTAAATATTACTGAATTGTGTGGACCCTGAAAATTTGAGACAGGTCTCAGTTAATTTAGAAAGTTTATTTTGCCAAGGTTGAGGACACATGTCCATGAGACAGCCTCAGGAAATCCTGATGATATGTGCCCAAGGTGGTTGGGGCACAGCTTGGTTGTATGCATTTTAGGGAGACATGAGACATCAATCAATATGTGTAAGAAGTACATTGGTCGTCCAGAAAAGGGGGTAAAACTTGAAGCCAGGAGGAGGTTTCCAGGTCACAGGTAGGTGAGAGACAAATGGTTGCATTATTTTGAGTTTCTGATAAGCCTTTCCAAAGGAAGCAATCAGAATATGCATCTACCTCAGTGAGCAGAGCTGTGATTTTGAATAAAATGGGGGGCAGGTTTGCCCTAAGCAGTTCCCAGTTTGACTTTTCCCTTTAGCTTAGTATTCTTGGGGCTCCAACATTTTCCTTTCACATTTCCCTCCTTTTCTTTTTAAACATCTTTTGGAGAAAGCATTTTAGAAGAAAATGAGTCTCTGGTCTCAGGTTTCATCTGATCTTTCATGGTTAAGAAGGTTTATTCCTAGACAGGTAGGCCCCAAAAGCTCATTTTTAGAAAGTTGTGAAGTCTCAGATCCTATGAAGAGAAGATAGCGGGAGGAAGGAAGAAAAACAATAACAAACAAAGGAATGATCCTAGAAAATTGATATAGATCTTACGTATGTAAATAGGTTGCTGTTTTTTTTTTCTTTGTAGTTTAAGTTGTCTAGCTTTAGTTCTCAGGGCTGTAAAAAAGAACAGCTTAGTTTTCAGTGATTTCAAATTAGGAAAAAAATGAGGGGGAAAGGAAAAGAAAGAAGAAAAAATGAAAATATTATTTTGGAGAGTTGTAGGCAGGAAAAAATAGAATTCAGCACAAATTGTAGAAAACAATAAAAATTGAAAAGCATTAGGCAAGATTAGAATCTAGGCCGGGCGCGGTGGCTCACGCCTGTAATCCCAGCACTTTGGGAGGCCGAGGCGGGCAGATCACGAGGTCAGGAGATCGAGACCATCCCGGCTAAAACGGTGAAACCCCGTCTCTACTAAAAATACAAAAAATTAGCCGGGCGTAGTGGCGGGCGCCTGTAGTCCCAGCTACTTGGGAGGCTGAGGCAGGAGAATGGCGTGAACCCGGGAGGCGGAGCTTGCAGTGAGCCGAGATCCCGCCACTGCACTCCAGCCTGGGCGACAGAGCGAGACTCCATCTCAAAAAAAAAAAAAAAAAAAAAAAAAAAAAAAAAAAAAAAAGATTAGAATCTAACAACAAGTGTACTATAGTTTTGAAACATAATTTTTCTCTGTCAAGTTTCCCATTTTTATTAAAGACAAATCATGGTAGGACTGATTTGCTTTATTACACTTGGTCAGATTATTTGTATAAAGTGCAGAAAAAATTATTTTTTATATAGGCTTTTTAAAATTGGCTTTGATGGAATTTTATTCCATAGAAGGCATCTCAGATAAGACTTTTTTAAAGCTGAGCTCAGTCATGGATTTGTGCCATCAAATACCTATGAGTTGGGTGAATTTCCTCTACTCTTGAGGTTCCAAGATATACCTGGGGCTCCGGGACCTGTCAGAAAGTGACCTTCTTTACTTACCACAGGTCAGAAACCCTGTACAGGGATTCTGTACATAGAACATGAGGCCAGTTTTCCTAAGGGTTTTAATTGGCTCCATAAGTCAAGTTTGATTCCTTAAAGGAAAGCAAACCATTCCAGTCAAAGCCTTGGTTAAATAACAAGTTTCTTCAGCTGTGTCCTGTTACTTATGAAAACAGATTCTTATTGCACTTATGCAAATAACTGTATTGCCATAAGTTAAGAATGCTCACAAATAGCTTCCAAATTCTGGAGAAATCAGGTAGAGAGAAACAAATATGCCCCAAATTTTGTTCATAAAAGTATACTAAATTGTTAAAAGATATCAATAACTCAAAAGTTTCAAGACTCTGAAAAACAAAACAAAGGATCAGCAATGTTTTAAGCAAAAAGTCAAAAAGATTAGTTCAGTCCATGCAGTTAATTCCTGTTCTGCTTGATATTCATGAACATTTTAGCTCTCCATGAGTCCTGAAAGTTTTTCCTCTATTCTGATGTCACAATCTCCAAGGTTATCAGAAACCTGCATTCAAGAGCACCTGTTAGAGTTTTATAGCTGATTATAAAACCATATTCTAAAGAGGACCAAAACAACACAATTATCCATGGATGACAAAAGGTTTTATGGCAGCCATAGTCAAAGAAACAATTGACAAGGAAATCTGTTACCTCTGTGGCACACAATAATTTTAACATAACAACTATGATTATTACTGATAATGTACACTAAGATATATCAGAATTACAGAAGTTTCCCATAATTTTGGAACACATACCAATAACATATTTATACAAATACAGGCCAAAGAAAACTAAACACCATTTCATATTTGACAATGTTTCCAGTATAATTTTTGTGCCAAACAAGCCAAATTATGTCATTTTTGGACTTAAAGGAGCCTAATGTCTTAAAGGAATAATTAGGTCAGAAAAAGACATAATTTATAATTTGATTTTGGAAAGTTTGTCAAATATCAAAGGTTTAAAACACTTGGTATCACAAAATAGGATCACAGGTCATTGTAAAATAAGTCATTCATTTAACCAAAGTGATAACTCAAGGATTTCAAAAAAGGTGAAAACCTTTATTCTCTGAGAAAGAAGAATTAATTTTCCAAACAATACATCCTAATAAAAACAGCATGAAGCCAACCAAATTTGCTTTTCAAAATTTTATAAACAATCTATAAAATTTTAATCTTGACCATAAATTTTAACTTTCAAAAGCCTTTTATATCCTTCACAACCTTTATTACAGAGTTGGTTAATGCTTCAAGAAAACCTTCTTAATCTAATACAGGGCCCCATATGCTGGTCTCACATCAGTGTGCCTTTGACATTAATGATTATTTTATAGAGAAACTGAACTTATTTTATTTCTCAAAATCAGCCTTTACAATCTCACATGCCCACCTCTTCCACAATAGTGCCTGGGCCTTGAGGAGTTGACTAGCTTTAATTTCTGGCCCTGTGTCTCAGGAATGAAGCTTATTTTGATTGGCATCTTCTTTGGGGCTGAAAAATGAGGTTTTAATGGCTGTCAGTGTTTAAGATTTAGTGGGACTTGGTGTCCTTTATAGATGCAGGAGTCAAAGCCCTGTAACTCAATGTCACAAAGACTTTAAAAGAACTTACAGGATGATACATGGATGTAATAACCTTAATTGAAAAAAAATAAATCTGAGTTTCTTCCTAAGCAAACCAAAGTTAATAATAGTGCCATAGGAATTATTTCGATTAAATGTAAAGTCTGTTAGGCCAGTTACCAAAAGGCAAAAGAAAAGACCTCCTGCAGTGCGCAGAATTCTATGTTGGAAGAAAACATTTCCTTTTGACCTTCAAAAAAAAGTTTCTTGTAAAACGGGAGAGAAAGGTGAAAAACGGTGAGATGCAATAAAAGTTGAACTTTGGGTTAAAAATTAAAATTAAAATCTCTTATAATTTATTATGAGTAAATCAACCCCTTAAGAATATTTCTTTGTTCCAACCAATAATTTAGTGTATAAGTGTTTTTATAGCAAACCTAATCTCTAAAGAGAATTATAATTTTCCTTTAATTATAAACAACTTGATCATATAAAAGTTTTTGTTTTTTTTTTGAAATAAATCCTCTCATTGTGACTTAGACAGACCATTCATGACATACTTTGACTTTCTGGTTTATCTTGAACATCTCTCTTTCTTAAACAACCAGTCATTTTACTTTAGGACTAAATTTACCATACAAGACTCTTTCTCACATAAAATCATTTCTCTTTAAGCTTTCCTATCACAAAAAACCTCTTTATTTTTATAACTTTCTGTACATTTCTCTTATTTTCTGGCTCCTTTACCTTGTTTTATACATAAACTTTAAACAAGCTTTGAATTAGACAAAACTTGTTCACCCTTTTTTAAAAGGACACACTTTTTGTTTTTTTAGCAAGAATGTTTTTCTACAATATATTTTTACTGGAAAATACACAGATAATAATATACTGTTTAATTTAATATAAATTTATATTCTAAATTATGACAAGTTTGTCTACAAGTATTTATCCCACTATACTTACCTAAATATTTTATTTTAATTGCTTACCTAGATTATTTATGAAAACTGTGATAGTCATGATTTAAAGTTATGAAACCACCATTGCAAAATTATAACAGAGACAGTGAAAATTATTTGACCTAATTGACTCCATCTTGCTTTTAACCTCCAAGCTGTCCCTGTTCATTCCTGGGTGTAGGCCAAACTAACTTTGGGAGGAACTTAGTGTATAGTTTAGCTTTGAAACAAAGACAATACTAAAAATTATACAAGCAAAAATCATTCTGTTTTGGGCTGGGTTTTTTTATAACCCCTTTGACACCTTCTAGTATTTGCAGTGATAAGTATGAAATTGCTTGATTAATAAATGCAAACAAAAATGTATGCTGGAAATTCTCAAGACATTTCTAATATTACTTTACCAATAATTTTAAAGCTAGCTTATTTATTAAATATTTGACTTAAGTTACATAAACTTGAAAAAAACATTTGACTAGTCTTTTCTTTCTTCCTGATACAATATTTAATTCAACTGCTTTTATTTTCTTAAGGTAATTAATTAGAGCTCTTTATATATTTTTAATAGTGAAGCCATGTGTACACAATACGTAAATACATAGTTGTATTAGGCACGCATCTTATAGATTTCTAAGACCTCCTTTTTTTTTCCTATCTTAGATTTGCAAACTCTTGATAACCTGTTTCCTTACCCTGGCAGTTGTCAGCTAAATAGCCCTAAATCTGCATATAAAAGGAAACAACTCAGGTGAAAATCAGACAGCAAAATTTACATCATAAGGTATGAAGAGAAAGTCTCAGGAGCTAAGGGAAATTAACATGAATTAAATTGCCAATTGAACATAAAATTATAGAAGTCTATTTTAAAGGCCTTCAAATATACACACATACATATGCATACACATATACACACATACAAAGATTCTATGGCTTTTACTTCAGTACTTTAGCCAAGAGATTAATACAAATTCATCAGCATGCAAAAAAAAAAAAAAGTTAGATCCAAACAGCGGTTTTTATCTCAGTAGAAAAGTAATAGCTTATTTAAAGAAGCCAGAAAAGAAAATAGAGAAAAAGGGGACCTAGGAACTCTAAGTTGGCAGGTTGGCCTTAGGGCTCCTTTTCCTTAATGTAAATATGCATGGAGACCATATTTCTTTCACTTTACTCTGGCAAGTAGAGGTGCCATAAAACCTACAAAGTGCTGGAAAGAAGGTCATTCTCCTTGTTGTCTCCTCATTCTTGGATTGTTTCCTGTTTTTTTTTTTTTTTTTTTCCTTAAACGGAGGAACTGAGGTGTGGCCTAGGCCTAGGGTTTTTGTGTGGTGGATCAACATGTGCTGTTTGTGGGCAGAACTCTACAGTTTGTAACCACTGAGTCATTTCCACCCTCTTACATGTCTCAGTTTCTCTCTCCAGAGGTCTATGACCTCTGAGAGGGCTCAAAACTCTTGAGTGATCAGCCCTTATATGCATTTTCTGGACAAGCTATTTTTTAAATTAATTTTTGTTAGGGATATCCCTGCAGGGCCACTGCACATTGCAGGGTGTTCCCAATCCCGTATGGTCCCCGGTGACCCTGGGGCACCTTTTAGCTGGGAGGAGTAAATGCCCTTTCCCTTCAGAGATGAGAAAACTCAGTCCTTCAGTTCCTCACACAAATGCACACAGACAAACTGAATTAAATTAAATTTGAGAGAAAAATCAATGGAGAAGACCCTTTAGTATGCAACTGCAAACTAGAATTAGAATCCTTAAACAACAACTTCCTAGGACAGAAAAGAGAAAACACACACACACACACACACACACACACACACACACACACACAGCCAAGACCATTTCCCGTAAACTGTAGTCAGTCACCCATAACTTTGTAGCTCTTCTCCACCATTACACATGCCAAGGTCAAAGCCTCTCACAGTGCAAATTAATCTCTGGTACCCCAAAGCTAAAAAGTGTCAGGTCATGCAATACAGGAAAACAGAGCTTTAGACCTAAAAAGAATCTACCCATGACTCTTGAAACTTCACAAAGAAAACAGAACACCCCCAAAGTGGGTGAGTGATGCCTTTGTTCTGAATTCTTTAAAGGGATTCAAGTCATGAGAAGCCTTCTCTAGATTTTTTTGGTACTGCAGATGGCAAAAGGAGAAAGGAGGTAAAGGGTGGAAGAAAGTAAACGAAATAACAATTTTTTTTTGAGGCAGGAACCAAATACAGAAACCAAACACACAGTTGTTTTCTCTTTTTTATTTCCTTTTACTTTTCTAGTGGCTAGGAATTTGGGCCAAATTAGAGAGGACTTGTTACCCATAATTTGAAATTCTCACTCAGATTTGATCAAGTCAGGTAGAGTTGGTCAAATCCAATGGGAGAAAGACTAGAACAAATAACAAGAAACCCCAACAAAATGATCACTGAGCACTCTAATGGTAACAAGAAATTAAGACCAGCTAGTTGTTAATCTTAACTGTAGCCAAGACAAACCCCAATTCAGTTATTTACCTAGTGATAGGTCTCAGGCTGAAGACTGCTCTCTACCATCCTAGAAGCAGGGGGAAAAAAAAATCATCTTCCCTGTTGGAAGCTAGCTCAAACTCCATAAAGGAATTACCTGCCTTCTATTGTCATGAAAACAGGAAAAATTTGCCACCCTTGTGCTGGAAGCATGTAAAACTCCAAAAAAAAAAAAAAAAAAAAAAAAGAGGAGTTGTACAGCAAAATAAACTTTAGCTCTCTACCAAATTTTGGGAAATCAGGGATTCTCTGCAGGGGGTGCTCTCAGATCTCAGCAAATTGTCCTCTTGGTTTGAGCCATAAAGTTAGCTCATGGTGGTACCAGAGACCAAAAAGAGATTTGTCAAAGGTCTGGGCAATCTCCACTCAGAATCCCTTGGTGGTTACCACATGTGAACCCTGAAAATTTGATACAGGTCTCAGTTAATTTAGAAAGTTTATTTTTCCAGGGTTGAGGATGAGCACCCGTGACACAGCCTCAGGAAGTCCTGTCAACATGTGCCCATGGTGGTTGGGGCAGAGCTTGGTTTTATACATTTTAGGGAGACAGGAGACATCAATCAATATACGTAAGAAGTACATTGGTTCAGCCCAGAAAGTCAGTGTATTATTCTGTTTTCACGCTGCTGATAAAGACATACCCAAGACTGGGCAATTTACAAAAGAAAGATGTTTAATTGAACTTACAGTTCCATGCAGCTGGGGAAGCCTTACAATCATGTCGGAAGGCAAGTAGGAGCAAGTCACGTCTTACCTGAATAGCAGCAGGCAAAGAGAGAGCTTGTGCAGAGAAACCCCCATTTTATAACCATCAGATCTCATGAGACCCATTCACTGTCACGAGAAGAGCACGAGAAAGACTCACACCTATGATTCAATCATCTCCCACCAGGTCCCTCCCACAACACGTGGGAATTATAGAAGCTACAAGATGAGACTTGGATGGCGACACAGAGCCAAACCATATCAGGCAGGGACAACTTGAAGCAAGGAGGGGGCTTCCAGGTCCCAGGTAGGTGAGAGACAAATGGTTGCATTCTTTTGAGTCTCTGAAGGCGGTAATCAAAATCTTCATCTATCTCAATGAGCAGAGGGATGACTTTGAATAGAATGGGGGTCAGGTTTGCCTTGAGTAGTTCCCAGCTTGACTTTTTCCTTTACCTTAGTAATTTTAGGGCCCCAGGATTTTCCTTTCACTAGTGTATACTTTAAAACAGTAAATTTTATGTTATGTGTTTCACCATGATAAAAAAAAAAACAAAAAACTCACCACAAAGAACAAAGAAAAAAAGACAAAAAGGCACCTATAACAAGAATGATTTTTTTCTAGGCATCTTAAAGATCAAATGATAAAGGAGGGTAAAAACTCTGCATATTTCAAATAATTTTATCTAAAATTATATTTTACCCTAGAGACAGCTAGTTTAAATCTAGCATAGTTTTAGGCTGTTAGTAAGCATTTGGTGAGTGTGGAAAAGAAGGAATAAAATCATTAACATAGAGTCTATTTTTAACATTAAAAAGCAAAACAAGATTTTAAAGAATCAGGAAAAATATAACAACATTAATTTTACAAATTTAACCTCCCCTCTCCTCTCCTTCCCCCTTCTCCCCTCCCCTCTCCTTCCCCCTTCTCCCCTCTCCTCCCCTCCCCTCCTTTCCCCTCTCCTCTCCTGTCCTTTCCTCTCCTGCAACTGTTAAGCAACCTAACAATCCAGCTACTTTTCTCATCTGAGCTTTCATGAACTAGAATTGTCTGAAACAAAACTCCCAGCCTCAAGGATATAATTATTTGGAAATTGACCCATCTCCACAGTGATCAGCATTGATCTCCACAGTGTTTAGCCTAAACCTCAACAAAGCAGCAACAAACAGTGTGCTATAACATGATTTCAAATTCTCAAATAAAACACTCTTAGAGGACTAAAAATTTCTACATATTAAAAAGCTAATATTTTTATCACAAAAAATATAACTGGCCTTTTTTACTTCCCCTGAACCCAAATTGAGAAAAAAAAATGTTAGTTTCTAACAAATTAGATAAAATTGATTTGCAGGGGTGGCTAAAGTTCTTATTAAGAACAGCTCATTCCCGGCTTGCAAAGTTTCTGTTTAACAGATGTTTTCTGCCAAAGAATTTATTGCATATTGTAATTGGTGCATATAACTCTATACTAACAATGGCACATTAATTATTTTTATATGAATTATCTAATTTTTCTGCCTATGTTAATCAACATATTTGGATAATTTCAATATCCACTTTGGTTTTTAATTATATAAATTCGTCATATAAACAAACTTTTGTCTGGCCCTTAACCGCATAATGTTAACTCTCTTGACTTTATAAATAAATGTGTTAGGCAGACAGGGCAGACGTTACTGTCCTTGCTTTTTTTTTCTCCAAAAGAAACAATTTCAGATTTTATCTTCTATGAAGTAGCCCCAAAGACTCAGTCCTAGTCTAGAACTCTTTTTATTACATTATCCATTCTAATTCTAGGATTCACTCTTTTTTTTGTTCTTGTTTGGTATTGTAAGAAACATTTTCAGTGACTTCGAAGCAACATATCTTTATCACTAAAAGTCTGGAAATAGAGAACTGCAGTAAGGATATAAGACTCAGCTTTAACCTCATCACTTAGAGAATAATTACAATTAAGAATAATTTTTAGAAGAAGCACACCTTCAGCCTTTTTATATAATCCTAGGGAGATCAAAATTGACACATATATGATATGTCAAAAAAAGGGCACCATAACCAAACAAAACTTCCATCTACTTCAGGTTTAAAAATGTCTCTGGTAAATATTGTCAATTCAAAATGTAAACGTTCTACCAGTCCCTCTTAAGATGTTCCCTCCTTCCATTTCAAAGTGACTTTTGAGGTCAGAAGTAAGTTTATGTATCCTTTTCCACTGTAGGGAAGATTCTGAAGGATTTTCCTCTTGCTGGAGGCTCCTTCTGACATCCAATTGAAGTATATCTCATTCATCCTGTTAGCATCTTGCTGAGACCAGCTCATTTGGGGAGAACCCTAACCCAGCGGTGCTAGAGGAATTAAAGACACACACACAGAAATATAGAGGTGTGGAGTGGGAAATCAGGGGTCTCACAGCCTTCAGAGCTGAGAGCCTCTAACAGATTTACCCACGTATTTATTAACAGCAAGCCAGTGATAAGCATTGTTTCTTTTCCTGTTTTTCTTTTTTTTTTTTTTTTTTTGAGACAGAGTCTCGCTCTGTCACCCAGGCTGGAGTGCAGTGGTGCAGTCTTGGTTCAGTGCAAGCTTCGCTTCCCAGGTTCACGCCATTCTCCTGCCTCAGCCTCCCAAGTAGTGGGGACTACAGGCACCCGCCACCATGCCTAGCTAATTTTTTGTATTTTTAGTAGAGATGAGGTTTCACTGTGTTAGCCAGGATGGTCTCGATCTCCTGACCTCGTGATCCACCCGCCTCGGCCTCCCAAAGTGCTGGGATTACAGGCGTGAGCCACCATGCCTGGCCGATAAGCATTGTTTCTATAGATTATAGATTAACTAAAAGTATTCCTTATGGGAAACAAAGGGATGGGCCAAAATAAAGGGATGGGTTTGGTTAGTTATCTGAAGCAGGAATGTGTCCTTAAGGCACAGATCGCTCATGCTATTGTTTGTGGTTTAAGAACGCCTTTAAGCAGTTTTCTGCCCTGGGTGGGCCAGATGTTCCTTGCCCTCATTCCAGTAACCCACAACCTTCCAGCGTGGGTGTCATGGTCACCACGAACATGTCACAGTCCTACAGAGATTTTGTTTATGGCCAGTTTTGGGGCCAGTTTATGGCCAGATTTTGGGGGGCCTGTTCCCAACAGCACCTAACACACAGCAGCTCATGCAACTCCTGGACTATTCTCTTCTATTCTCTTGGTCACTTCCAGAAAGCACTTGCGTTTCTCTTCCCAAGTAGACTCATAAGTTTGGCTCTTGATGGACCTGCTCTAGTATAGCCACATCCTTCATCAGAGTATCAGTCCAAGGTTATCCACCCCTCTCTTGAGCAACCAGTCGGGTAACAAATCTTCCACTAGGTGACATAAGAAATAGACCTCCTCCACAATATGCCAATGTATTGGGCTTGCTAATAATCACACTATTTCTAAACTGCTGTTTATCCTCATATTAGCTTATGCTTCACAAAGGCTTGACTTTTTCTTTCCCTGAGAAGTGAGGAGTAATCTCTCCATGCTTTAGAATCTTCCCAAATTATTATGTTGATATCAGCACCATTCCTTGTGTGGAGGAAGGATAATCATATCAGATAACTTGTTCTTGGCTGATTCTCTCCCCTAAATCTTCTGAGTCTTGGAAGAGCATCCTTCTACCCTTTTTTCTCTCACTACCTTTATATCATATACAGGCAGCTTTCACTTTATACAGAGGCAGAGTACCATAAAAATGACAATGCAAAACAAGATCATGCAAAGCAATCTTAATAATCAGTTGGAAAATTGTGATTGCTCCCTGGCATTTAAAAATTTGTGTTAAAAATATCAAAAGCTTTTTATTGTCAATTACAAATGTATAGGGAATGACAACAATAATAAAGCTGTTATTTATTTAGCACAGTGTAAATGACAAAAATCGGAAACACTGAGACCTAAAACGTTTTATTTATTTGTAAAAAAACAAAACAAAACAAAACAAAAAAAACTTGTTGAGTAGTTTGGACAGATTGTCTTCTTTTACTTTTCATAACTTATGATAATTAGTGAACACTTTAACCATGCCTTCAAAATCGTTATATTTCTTTCTAAGTATGGAACAGCTCCAACATTTTCTCCTTTGCACCCTCGATGTCATGAAATATCTCCAAGAGTTCCTTTAATGTGAAGATTTCTGCTGGTGTCAGTTCCTCTGGGACATCTTCATCCTTTTTGTCAAAACCTCTTTCCTCATTTCTGTCGGTAAGTTCACCTTCACTCAGTTCCTCAGGCTATGTATATAGTCTCTCCAATGGCAGCAGTGTCAACACTCCCACAGCCAGCTCTTTCTTTATAACTCCATTCACTTTCAATTAGAATTTCACTTCCAGCATTATCCCGTTTTGTTTCGTTGCTGCACTTTTATCTTTTTTGGACATTTCTCTTGTTGGATTATATATTTTTGTAAAATGTAAGATGGCTTTATCATCGGGAGACCAGGAGGAAACACAATCACATGCTTTGCTGTCTGTACATGAACATGCAGTTGCACAGAGCCCAGTCACTGACAGATTGTGAAAGAAGTAATGTGATTGGCCACTGATCATGATGCACATCTTCTACATAGTGAAATGTGGACTGAAGAACTAGTGGTGAAGTTTATGTTTTACCCGATTACTCATAATTAATATACCATAGTGACTAAAATTTAAATCATGTTTCCAGGGGACTGGTGTCATTTAACTAAACTGTGGTATCTGGAATTCCTGCATATCAGAACTGTGCCAAAAGAAGTTTGCCTGTGCTTTTCTTACCCTAGGTGGCCTTCACACTCCTGTCTCCAGAGGCTATAAATGTAGTGCAACTGCAGAGAAAGAAACTGAACTAGGGAAAAGAAAAATCATTAGAAAGTAGTTGAAAAATACTGACTTTATTTTATTAAAATATTGTTGATACATACATAGTTGCTTAACATAGTGTTTATGACTTTCACATTATTAATATTTACCAACATGACTTTATGACTGCATAATATTTCATCAGACAATAATAAATTTTACTGTTTCTAGGTACCAGATACTGTCTCAAATGCTTATAGTATTATCTAATTTAATGCTCTTAATATTTTGAGATGGGTACTATTATTACCTATTTCATTTCAAAAATTACAAAATCAAGGTACAAAGAGATTAAATTCATACTCAAAGATGTACATCTTACAAGTGAGAAGCTATGATTTGAATTCAAGCAATATGATTCTAGTGCCCTGTCCTCCTTTTTACTAGGCTGTACTACAATATTACTTATTCATTCTAAACCCTTTAGTTGAGTACTTAGACTTTTTTCCTGCTATCTTTATACAGAAATCTTTGTATACATTCATGATTTTCCTTTAGCAAAAAAGAAAGAAAAATCCATGACTTGAATTACTGCATCAAATTTTATAGGTCTTTTCAAGGTTTTCAGTTGCATTTTGCAAATCACTTTTGAAAATATTTGTATCAATTTATATTTTCATAAGCAATGCATTAGACTGCCCATTTAGAAAATCCTCACCAACTAAAATAGTTGCACATATTTTTTTGTGACTTTTGTAGTTTTCTTTTGTCAATTACTGTTATTCTTTGCCATTTTTAATTGGGTATTTTTTCAAGTTTTTAGTATACTTTTTATATATTAATGATAATAAGATCTTATTTTGTATCTTGGATGTATTCTAGTCATTTCAGTACTATTTTAGATAGCTATTGGTATTTATAGGAAAGCCGTGGTTTTTGCATATTTATTTTGCAACTATTCTGTTTATCGTATGAGGCAGAGACACTGTGAAAATAGCATAAAGTGAGAGTCAGTATAAAAGAACAGCTATGATAATGAGGTTAGGATTTATGGCAGTACTGTATGGGTTTGTTTTAAAATTCAATATATAAAGTAAAATTGGACATATAATATAAGATTAGAATTATCCAGAGTAACTTAAGAACTCAAAGTTCTGAGCAGACCTACAAGGAATCAGTTAGAATCTATTACCACAACTAAGGAAGAAAGGCAGAACAAAACTTGCAGCAGAATTGTGATTTAATGCTGAGTTATAAAAATGCGGGCTTAGGATTTCACCGACATAGGGGTCAGAGACTGAGGCAGATATGGACTGGCAAGCTGCAGGGGCCAGGGACCTGATAATTAAGTTGAATCCTCCCTTAATTAATCACATCACATCCAATAAGACAGGTGAGGAGTGGTAATAATGACACTTATATAGATTTTGCATATTATAAAATTAAATGAAGAGGTGGCACAATCGGGTGACTTATTTATATAATGCAAAGTAAGTCTTTCAGACTGACTATCGTGGAGTTCCCTGTTGTTTGAGAACTTTGGTCTAGCTACCTTCATGGCAGAGTCTCATTCATAAAACTAACCTTAGAATTATTAATACTATCAGATTATGTAAATGTGATCGCATGACCCTACCATTACTTCCACCTTTTCAATTACTGACTCCTTTGTGCTAATTAATCATTTCAGGCCTCTGATTTTGTTTTATACTAATGGTAACATAATTTTTAAAAATAATATTTACCTATATGGATAATACCTTAATTGTGTGAATGTCAGAATAATACAAATAATACCACAGAGAAATTGACAGAGATGATAACTCCGGTTTGGTAAGCAATCAATAATAGACTTTGCCTTTATGGTTCTAATAACTGATTATGATTTTTTTTCTTTTGTTTTTTTTTTTTTTGAGACAGAGTCTCGCTCTGTTGCCCAGGCTGGAGTGCAGTGGTGCCATCTCAGCTCACTGCAAGCTCCGCCTCCCGGCTGATTATGATTTTTAAATGCTACATCACTGTTTTGATGGGTATAGGACAAAGTTAATAAGTGCCCCTAAAGTGGTCCCTTCCAAGCCAATTTATCTCAAAGTATGTTTATATTTTATCATAAAATAAATGTAATTGTAAAAATCTGATTAATTTTAGGGTATTTGATGTGTCAAGTTTTTCTTTCCTGTCATCATAAATGGAATCCTCATTCTTAAGAGCCTTCCTTGGTTCTCTGAACATTTAAGAGGATCAACTTGACAAGAAGAATAATTTTCAAGCTGTTTTAAATTTCTACATTGCACTTTTTAATAAAATTCACTTACCCAGATTCTTAAAAATGTATAATAATGCCACATCACATGGTATTTTTGTCCAAACATTAAATGAAAATGTTTCATGTTTTGTTTATTGACTATAGAATGCCCTGAAGAGTGCCACAAAGATTATTTCAATTTTGCAGTAGCCAGTGTAGTGAGTAATCTATAATTTACCCTATACAAGTGATACTGATTTACGTAATTTAATCACGCAGAGATTACTAAATTACCAAAGGCTGCAGAGTCTTATTAAAGGAAGTATATACATTTCAATTTATTTGTTTCTTACCTTACAAGAACATCTCCCAGTCGAATCAGAAATTATAATTCAAATTAGCATAGCCAGAGGATTTTACAGACTCTAAAAGAAATGTGTTATTTATTATCAACTCCATTGAGTTGTTCCCAAATTATCACTTTATGCAAAAGAATACATGCGGTCACTATTTTGTAGCTGAGACATCATTAGCCTTCATTTTTCACCAGTTAGATTTTCACCTGTGCTCCTTGCAAAGCCCAGGAACTTCAGACTTGTAGAATTACTCTCACCCATCCCTCCAGGTTGATGAAAATGGGAAGCAGCTCTTTCCTACAAGAAATTAACCCATCACCTCCTAACCTCTGAGGTCATATCTAAAGAGCTATTATGCTGTAATTTAAAATTATCTTTCTTATAATAAACCCACAATAGTCCAGTCAGTGATTTTAATATCAAGAAATGTTGATATCTGATATAGGGCATATTTGCATTGCTGAAGAATGTCAGAGCAAATTCTTTCTAAAATGATATTTTCAACTACTATAGTTGCATTTAAATCATAGGCAATTGCATAGCTCATTTTCTCCTGTAATTTAAAGTTCCATTCCTAGTTTTATTTATAGGAAAAGACCTTAACAAGTATAACTGAGGAAGAATTGAACAGTTACTTTATCTTTTGAGCATCACGAGCATTTCTGCTTTAGCTGAATAAATATATTCCCTAGCCTCTTCCACTCTCCTCTCATCTTCACCCTCCCAACTGTGGAGAATATGTTTGTTTACATTACATTTTGGTTTTGAAAAGTTTTGTAATATTATAAAAGAAACATGCCTGAACATAATAGAAACTTACAATTACCTCAGTGATACAAAGACAATGCTCCTCTATTTTTTGAGAAAATGTAAATTAGAAAATGAGAAGTTACTGCAGCTGAGCAATCAAAGATAAATAGTTGGCCAGAGAGCCTACCCCAGAAGAAAACTAATGTATATTTGTGAGCATACTTCATGCGATACAAATCAGCAACTAAGAGCAGCATCGATGATTCAGAGCTGAGAGTAAATTGTTAGAAAACCTGCAAATGGACTAAAAGTGATAAATCATCCTGATTAAAGTGCATTATTTGGGACCGTGAAATGTTTTTGTTCCTTCTGCAAATCTACTCTTTGCCACTATTTCTTAATAAACACCTATTTTCTGGAGAGTAATGCTAGAATAACTGTTCTAAACACCATTTTGATTCTGCCAAACAAACTACTTATCATTTTCCCCACATCACTTCTCAAATATTTCCTTTTACCTAACACATTGGTCTACACATAAGAACATAATATTAATATTTATTGAATTCAATGATGGAAAGAATATAGAGTCCTTATCTTTAGAGCCAGCAAAATATTAACTCATTCTACTTCTTTTGTCTTATTTTACTCTGTGCCTAAAACTGTCATCCACTAATGTAATCAGACTGGTTTCTTCACTTATTGTATTAGTCTGTTCTCACACTGCTATGAAGAAATACCCGAGACTGGGTAATTTATAAAGGAAAGAGGTTGAATTGACTCACAGCTCCACATGTCTGGGGAGGCCTCAGGAAACTTACAATCATGGCAAAAGGCAAAGGGTAAGCAAGGACCTTCTTCATATGGTGGCAGGAGAGAGAAGAGTAAGGAGCGAAGAGGGAAGATCCCCTTATAAAACTATCAGATCTCATGAGAACTTAACTCACCATCATGAGAATAGCATGGGAGAAACTGTCTCCTTGATCCAGTCACCTCCCACCAGATCTCTCCCTAGACACACAGGGATTATGGGGATTACAATTCAAGATCAGGTTTGGGTGGGGACACAGCCAAACCATATCACTTGTCAACAAGCAAATCTTGCACTTGTTTTGTCCCTTCTTGATAACCCATTGTCATTTTGATTGCATAAAATCTATCTATTCCTCAAAGTAAATTTTAAGCCTCACTTTCCTAATGAGCCTCCTTTAATTTCCCTTTCCCTCATTGTTTATTTCCAATGCCTACCACTATAATGCACAATTTTTAACCTAAATATTGATATAGGGATGCAATATCTGGCATTGTACACCATTCTCCTTGTGTATTCATCTGTTTTCCAAATAAAATGATAAATAACTTAAGGATCAATGTAATGTCTTTAATTTTTCATGTGCGTATATATAGCTTAGTGAAGTTTTGAGAAGTTTGTTATCTACAATAAAATTTATAGATAAATAGGAATACGGGATGAAACATATGGGATAAAAGATACCTAGCAGCTACATTATAATCTTTTCAAAATTCTCTGTATTTTCCTATTATTAGTAAGTATCCATGACCACTTTCTTTTTGAAGAGAGGGAATTTTTTAAATTAACAAATAAAAATTGCATATATTTATCATGTACAACACGCTGTAAAATATGTATACATTATGAAATGGCTAAAATGAACTAATTAATATATGCATTAACTCACATTTTTTTGTGGTGAGAATACAGAATGTATTCTCTTATGATTTTCAAGAATACCATACATTGTTATTAACTGTAGTCATGATATTGTATAATAGATCTATTGAATTTATTTCTCCTATCTAACTGAAATTTTGTAACCTTTGGGCAACATCTCCCCAAACTTCTTCCTTCTCCAGCTGCTAGTAACTACCATTTTGCTCTCTGCTTCTATGAGTTCAATGTTTAGATTGCACATCTAATTAAGATCATGTAGTATTTGTCTTTTGGCATGTGGTTTATTTCACTTAATATAATGTTCTCCAGGCTCATCCATGTTGCCTCAAAAGAAAGGATTTTCTTCTTTTTTATGGCTGAATAGTATTCTATATCACAGTTTTTTTGTCCATGCATCCATTAGGATCAGTCAACACTTAGGCTGATTCCCTTATAGCCAATATGTGGAAGTGTTGCTTTCACATCTTGGCTATTGTGAATAATGCTACAATCCCAAAGCAACATGCAACAATAAATGTGGGCATTACCAAGGGCAGTGGAGAAAGATTGGAATGAATATATTAGAGGGGTGCTCCTCAACCAACTGGCACATATTATATTTGCATTTTTTAAGATTTTACACAATGCAGTGGGAAGGTGTTAGAATTTTGGATCATGAATCATTAATCACACATCTTTTCAGTGTGCCTCATAAAAAAGTTAAAAATATTGCTCTCTTGAAATAAATAACATGATGTCCCAACGAAAAAATGTATACAGTGTGAAAGTTAAAGGAAGGACAAGAGTTCAGAGACTTTAAAACAATTTATGTTTGAAGAAATACAGGCAATGTGACTATCATGACTAAAATATTTTATTGGCAGAGGTGGTGATTGGAAAAATTATATATCACAGCCTTTAAAGGAATTTATTTCAGTAGTATTGAAATTTTGTTTCTTTTGTGTTGTTTGCTTGTTCATGCATGTTTTTGCTTAGTCATTATATTTTTCAGGATGTACAAATTGCACTTAAACATAATTCCAGACCCTGCTTATATGAAAAGAATAAGTGCTTCAGGGTGAGCTGCACTGGTGCAAATAATAAAATTCTAAATTTAATCTCAGGTTTCCATAATCACCTTTGCAGAATAAAATATTTTATGCAATAAAATTTCACAGTAAAAAAATACTTATCCACATTTAGGTAAATAACTTTACATTTTAATTTAAAAGTAGGAAGGAAAACACTTAAGTTCATTTCTCTCATTCATTGAAAGCCATAAACATCTTTTCACTCTTTCTTTTACTGCCCCGAAAATCAAAATAACAAATAAATATATCAAAGTCAATCAGCTGTTTGATTAAAAAGTAAAAGATACATTTTCTTAGCCTAGGCCAGCATCAGCCTTCTATTAGTACTATCAGATACCCCCAGAAACCTGAACAACTAACATGCAATCTCTTTAAATGATCCTTACGGTCTCTCCACAAAGTTAGGAAATAACCAAACCATATCTAACCTGGACTTAATCCTGACCCACCTAAGACAAGCTAAAGCATCTGGAGGTGAGGTGACAGGACCAGACTCTGCCTTTCATCCATAACATCAGCCTTCCAGAGACCCTGAACTAGCCATCTCCCATCCTTGCCTAACTCATGGAGTCCAAGAGATAATAATGAAGTGGCTCTTGTGAACAAAGTCAAAACCTATGTAAAATTCATCCTAGTACTAGTGTTTGGATCCAAGTACAAACTTCTTTTCTTAATCCATTTCAGCATCTTCTATGCTTCCATATTTACGGATTTTCAAAGCATTGCAGGCCACTTCTGGCAGATATCAAAACCTTGGACTACTGTGATCTCTACTCTGAGGTCTCCTCTGAGGACATCACCATACAACACCTACAGTGTATGGAGCCCTGCCCACCCCCTTTCCCAGAGATATGGTGTTGAAGAAATTCTAATAAAGAATTTCATGTAAACTTGGTCATGATATGACTGCAGGACTAAACCACTGGTTTCTCTTTCAGCCGTATAGAAGGACTGGAAGAGAAAAGACATAGATTTATTTGACTGGTGTAACTGGACTGCTGGTAGTTTTATGTTAGGCATCCACAAGTCAACCTTCTCTCCTGGGGTGCTTTTGTGGGTTCTTCTGAGATTCCCTTTGCAGGCTTTTACACTATACAACATCATCCCCGGAAACATGTGAGTGAGTCACACTTCTACTGACTTCATACAACTCCCACTCTCATCTCAGCTTGGCTCCTATCCCCAGTAGTTTGCCTCCAGTGTTTTTTTGCTAGAGTCCTCTCAGTTATTCAGGCAATCCTCGAGATAGCTCTTGGCCTTCTTTGGTGTTCACCAAAGTTAATATCTAGCTCTTTATTCTATGAAGTATTAGAAGTGCCAGCTGCACCTCATTCTGCTCTCTCTCCTCCCTCTGCCTCAATAGGTAGCTCTAGCCAGACTCTCCACACCTTACCTAGAGAGATGGAGCTGCCACACCAGGGGCACATTCCAACTTCTCTGCCATCATGATTCATGAAGACCAGGACTGTGTAAACCTTGTACACTGGTATTAGTCACTGACATTAGTCACTGACATCTAATGGGTATTAAATACATATTTGTTGAATTAATAAATGAATGAATTAGCTTTGACTTGCTTGACGGAAACTAAAAACCCCATATTCAGCTGGTACACGGTCTCTGGAGGATACTTTGATCATTTTCATCAGAAATACTTTTTTTAAAATTTCTTTTCTTCAACCTAGGTGTGCCAATTTGAGGAATTCATCTTAAGAAAATAATTCAGGAGGGGCTCACAGATGTGTGTACAAGGATAAGCAATGTCTAATCTAAGCAGAATGAAAACTATGTTCAACAATAGTGGTTTGGTTAAATTATTGTTAATTCAAACATATGGGACATTATCCTGCCATTAGAATTTTTTGTGTAGATACATGTTACTTGATATGGAAATCGCAGCTTGAAAATTTAAAACAATGATAACTTGCAAACAAATAAACAGTATCAGACTATTACCTGGAACACAAATGATCTAAGCTCAAATAAAATGTTTTAACACCGTTTCAGGACTTATGTTTCAAGCTAAGTAACAATAACAGTAAACACAGATCTATATGTTCTAAAGAGCACTAACTATTCCAGCAAGTAACCTAGTTTATAAATCTGACCATTCCCTGTCAGACCATGATCACTAACTTCTGCTATAAAATAATCATAACTAGAGTTCCTGAAATCCTATATGCACCCTTTCCTCTTGGGACTTACTTAAATTCTGACAAAATGATGTCCCTTGCTCAGCACGTTTAATAAACCCAATTTTGTATGTATGTTCAATAGGTTTCTTTAGTGGTCTTTGGAAGGGAATTCAACAAAAGAGTTTTGTGATATGTTTTTGTTATATTTAAAATGCAATATGCGTACTTTGATTACGTGGTAGGGTTTTTAATCATTTCAATTGTTTACAAAATTATCTGCAATTTATAATTTTTACATGATATTTAATTTTTGTAATATAAAGAGGAAAAATAAATAAAATAATACCCATTGAAAAGAATTAAATTACATCTAATAACCACTGCCTGTGTAAAGGGAGCCTTAGCCCACTTCTTCTTCTCCCTTCTTCCCACTCTAGTTCTTATTTTCTCTTTGTAAATCTGTCATGCTTTATGTCCAGATTATCATATTCAGTTTAATGCATAATTTACATTTCCTTCCAAAAATACTTTTGGCACATGTATATGACTAATATTTATTTATTAATTCCACTTTAGTAACTGTATACTCAGATTCTCCTCCATTGTTTCTTTTCAATCTTCTGGATCTGTCAAGAATAAAAGAGGTGTTTTAAAATCCCCCAGAGCGATCATCTTTCTACAAATTATTCTTTGTATTTCATGGAACTTTTGCTTTATGATTTCAATGCTATTATTCAGTTCACAGAAATTCATGATTTTTATATTGTCATTGAGGATTATAACTCTTCCTGATATAAAATTACATTTCAGCCCCATTTAATGATTTTTTGTTACAAATTTTAATTTACTTGAATTATTTATTATTTTATTTTTAATTGGCAGAAAAATATATATTTATCATGTAAATTCTAATTTATTTGAAATTTAAAGTTACCACCCCGATCTCCTTTTTATTCAAAATAAAGTTGTGAATTATTAAAATGTTTATGCTTTTCTGTCATATTGTTGGTTTTTGTTTGTTTTGTTTTTCTTTTCTAAGTAGTCCTATTTGAATTTTTTTGTATTCAATATCCTTTTGAAAAAACCTTTTAGAGAAGGTTTTCTTAATGTCTCACTAAGAACTTTTATGTTTACTGTCATGGTTGATGTATTTGCCCCTCTCTGACATGTTCATAAAAGCTGTATGTAATGCACTAAGTTTTACTCCTGGATGTATATTAAACCAACACAGGTCACTTGTTTTAGAGCTTCGGAGTTTATTGCTCTCCTGTGAGGCTAGTATTTCTGATATTTTTAAAGAGTTTTAAGTGATTTTAGTATGCAGAGAAAGCTGATAACCACTGATTTAATCAGTATTTAAAAATAGTAAAAACTTATACATAAATAAAAATAAACCTTCCTTTTTAGTAAAAACTCATGCACACAAGATAAATGCCATGTGGTTACACTTCAGAATTCCTGAAGTAGAGGAATGTATTTCTCTTGACCTCGCCCTTATGAGTACAATGGGTACAAACTGTCCTGTTAGGGGCTTTTGCACAGAGAGGTGAGCAAAGGGAGCAGAGTAGGAGAGAACTGATTTACACACAAGAAATTCTGGAGCTTCTGTGTAAGTATCAAAAGTAATAGAGTAGATAAAGAGTGGAATTATATCTACTAGAAGCCAGCATTTACTGAGTGCTAGGAACCAATATGCTTATTAACTTGCATAGAATATTGCATGTACTTTGAACAAAAATCCTATGAATTGGATGTTATTATCTGCAGTTTACATAGGGAGAAACACACATACACAGGTTAAATAACATACTCAAATGTCCTCAGCAGGTAATAGTGGAACCTGAATATTAATTCAACAGTCAGACTCCAGGATATACATTTATAACCCCTGTGCTTCCAGAGGGTAAAAAAAGTGACTAAGTACTAACACAGATTCTTTTCTTCTCTATGTCAGGAGATGTGTATTAGTACATTTTCACACTGCTGATAAAGACATAACTGAGACTGGGAAGAAAAAGAGGTTTAATTGGACTTACAATTCCACATGGCTGGGGAGGCCTCAGAATCATAGCAGGAGGCAAAAGGCACTTCTTACATGGTGGCAGCAAGAGAAAATGAGGAGATCTGGAAGTGGAAACCCCTGATAAAATGATCAGATCTTGTGAAACTTATTCACTACCACGAGAACAGTATGGGGGAAACAGCCAGTATGATTCAAGTTATCTCCCATTGGGTCCCTGGCAATTATGGGAGTACAATTCAAGATGAGATCTGGGTGGAGACACAGAGCCAAATCATACGATTCTGCCCCTGGCCCCTCCAAATATCATGTCCTCACATTTCAAAACCAATCGTGTCTTCCTAACAGTCCCCCAAAGTCTTAACTCATTTCAGCATTAACTCAAAAGTCCACAGACTTATCTGAGACGAGGCAAGTTCCTTCCGCCTATGAGCCTGTAAAATCAAAAGCAAGTTAGTAACATCCTAGACGCAATGGTGGTACAGATATTGGGTAAATACAGTCATTCCAAATGGGAGAAATTGGCCAAAACAAAGTAGCTACCAGCCCCATGCAAGTCCAAAATCCAGCAGTGCAGTCAAGTCTTAAAGTTCCAAAATTATCTCCTTTGACGCCATGTCTCGCATCTGGGTCATGCCGATGTAAGAGGTAGGTTCTTATGGTCTAGGGAAGCTCTGTCCCTGTGGCTTTTCTGGATACAGCATTCCTCTCAGCTGCTTTCACGGGCTGGCATTGAGTGTCTGTGGTTTTCCATGTGCAAGGTGCAAGCTGTCGGTGGATCTACCCTTCTGGGGTCTGGAGAACAGTGGCCCTCTTGTCATAGCTCCACTAGGTGGTGCCACAGTAGGGACTCTGTGTTGGGGCTCTGACCCCACATTTCCCTTCCACATTGCCCTAGCAGAGGTTCTCCATGAGCGCCCTGCTCCTGCAGCAGACTTCTGCCTGGGCATCCAGGCGTTTCCATATATGTTCTGAAATCTAGGCAGAGGTCCCCAAATTTCAATTCTTGACTTCTGTACAATCACAGGCTCAACACTACATGGAAGCTGCCAAGGTTGGGGCTTGCACCCTTTGAAGCCATGGCCTAAGCTCTGCATTGGCCCCTTTCAGCCATGGCTGGAGCAGCTGGGACACAGGGCACCAAGTCCCTAGGCTGCACACAGCACGGAGACCCTCGGACTAGCCCACAAAAAACATTTTCTCCACTGAAACCTCCAGGCCTGGGATAGGAGGGGCTGCTGTGAAGACCTCTGACATGCCTTGGGGAGGGACATTCGGCACCTCAAATATATGCAGCCTCCTAGAATTCTCCTCAGAAAGTGTTTTTTTCTTTTCTATCTCATCATCAGCATGAAAAATTTCCAAACTTTTATGCTGTTTCCCTTTCAAAACTGAATGCTTTAAAAGCACCCAAATCACTCCTTGAATGCTTTGCTGCTTAGAAATTTCTTCCACCAGATACTCTAAATAATCTCTCTCAACTTCAAAGTTCCACAGATCTTTAGAGCAGGGGCAAAATGTTGCCATTCTCTTTGCTAAAACAAAGCAAGAGTCACCTTTGCTCCAGTTCCCAACAAGTTCCTCATCTCCATCTGAGACCACCTCAGCCTGGACCTTATTGTTCATATCACTATCAGCATTTTTGTCAAAGCCATTCAATAAGTCTCTAGGAAGTTCCAAACTTTCCCACATTTTCTTGTCTTCTTCTGAGCCCTCCAAACTGTTCCAACCTCTGCCTGTTATCCAGTTCCAAAATTGATTTAACATTTTTTGGTATCTTTTCAGCAGCGCCCCACTCTACTGGTACCAATTTACTGTATTAGTCCATTTTCACACTGCTAATAAAGATATACCCAAGACTGTGAAGAAAAAGAGGTTTAACTGGACTTACAGTGCCACATGGCTGAGGAGGTCTCAGAATCATGGAGGGAGGCAAAATGCACTTCTTACATGGTGGTGGCAAGAGAAAATGAGGAAAATGTAAAAGTGGAAACCCCTGATAAAACCATCAGATCTTGTGAGACTTACTCACTACCATGAGAACAATATGAGTGAAACCGCCCCCACTATTCAAATTATCTTCTACTGGGTCCCTCCCAGTAGAATTATGGGAGTATAATTCAAGATGAGATTTGGGTGGGGACACAGAGCCTAACCATACCAAGATGGAAAAAGCCTGAGACCTCAAGTTTTTTTTTTTAGTCTCTTTTGCCTCCTCCCCATAGAAGAACCACCACCTCCTTTTTATTTGCCAGCTTTATAGTACTTATCACAATGCTAGTTCATGTATAATTATTGTACATTTTTTGTGGGGGGGTATTGTTTGCCTTCTTATCTAGACTGACAATCCTTGAGGGCAGAATTCATATTTGTGGTTTCCTGCTGGGTTCCCTGCTTCTAGCATAGTGCCTGTCCCATGCAAAACAATGAATTAATATGTGAATACATTCAAACATTCATGTGAGAAGGAAGGAGGAAAAGGAGAAAAAGACAAGAATGGTTTGGAGGAATACCTGTGCAGCTGGGGACCCTTTGTTGCTTTCACTCAAATCTGAAAACAAAAAAAGTGATCCTAAGTGTTGGTAAGAACCTCAAATTTTTATGTTCCATGGTCTTACATGGAGTACAGATATCCTGTAAGTACAGATGTCCTGTTATAATGAAGAGATCATCATAGAAAGGTCATTGAGTCAGACTGAAGTTCAAGATGGCTAAAGTATAAAATTAAGGATATTATATAACAGAAAAATTCATCTTTTAAAAAATCCTTTACTTGAGTGCAAAGACATATGTATACCACTCCACTCTTTAGCATGACTGCCATAGTTCTCAAATAGGATCTGTGTAATCTGGCCTGGTAAGGCCATGCTGGGTAATTTGCACTGATCAATTTGATAAGCGTTAGACACAAAAAAGGACAGAGTTGAATAAATCCATTAAAAAAAAGTTTCTGCTCTCACAGCCCAGACTTTTACAGTGCATGCCATATGGCATTAATATCAATAAGAAAAAAATAATCAAGAAAAATTCTCCATAAATTTTGGAAACTAAAACACTTCTAATTAATGCATTTCTAAATAAAAAAGATGAACAAAGTCAAAAGCTGATTGTGTATATTGACTAATAAAATGTATAAATCATAAAAAAACCTATTAAAATCAAGGGGAAGAAATAAATAATACTAAGAAGAGAAAACAACTGCATATACATATTTTTTTTAAAAATAGAATAGATTGAATACAGTGATGTCAATAAATAAAAAATTTTATATTTCAAATTAAATTTCAGGAAATTAATAGATTTCCTAGGAAAAATATAGGGATTAACTGACTCAAGAAGATTTAATAAAGCCTGATCAGATATGTACTATTATATCAAATCAGCAATCACTGTCACTCATAAAACTGTAGAAGATCCAGGAAGTTTCAAAGTTGAGATTTTACCCAGGCTTCAAAAACAGGTAACTTCAAATATATGCAATTTCTCGTGTAACATATAAAAATAAGAAATGTGTATCAAATCCTTGTTCCGAGCTTAGTATAACTTTCACACACCAAGATAGTACAAGAAAAGAAATATCTAGACCAACCTCTCTTATTAATATATATACAAAAGTTAAGATGAAATATTTGTACCATACATATGACATATTTTTAATGCAGCATAACCATATAGTGTTTATCTTAGCATGAAGAAATGATTTAACAATAGAAAATTTAAAATGTAATTTGCCATATTAATAGATAGGATAGAATAGGAGGGAAACAGATTTGGAGAAAAATATAATTATCTTACTACCCACAGCAAAAGCACTTGATAAAATATAAAACTAATTAATTATATATTTTTAGCTTTAGTCTCAAAAAGGGTATCTCCCTAAACGTTACAAAATTTCACAGTTAATGGACAAGCATTATGATCAGGAATAGGGATATCCACTACCTCTTTATCATTTCAATATTTTTTAGTAGTCCCAATCAGTCCAATAAAACATAAAGAATATATAAAACAGGTAAATATGGTAGACAATTTCTGGATGACACAATTATAATCTCAGTTAAACTATTTGAACTATTTAAAGACTTCAGAAATATAGCTGGACACAAAGTTATGGAAAAATAAATAGCATTCTTGTATATTAATGGTAGCATTTCTAAATTTTCAATAATTGGAAAAACCAATTTTAGAACAATGACTGTCATAATGTTTATAAAGTTATAAAGTTCAAAATTATCAAAAGATAATTTTGAAGAAAAAAGTTGGGATATAAATCTACCACATATAAATATTTATTACAAAGCTGTAGTAATTAAGATAATGCAAAAATGGTACAAAAGAACAGAGTACAGAACTGAGAAGAAAACTCACATTTTATGGAAACATAGTACATTAAAAATATGGGGCCTGGCACAGTGGCTCAATGCTTGTAATCCCAGCACTTCAGGAGGCCAAGGCAGGCAGATTGCTTGAGCCCTGGAGTGTGAGACCAGCCTGGTCAAAACCCCGTCTGATGACAAAACCCCATCTCTCCTAAAAATACAAAATAAAATAGCCAGGTGTGGTGGCATGTACCTGTAGTCCCTGCTACTCCAAAGGCTGAGGTGGGAGGATCACCTGGGCCAGTGAGATGGAGGTTGCAATGAGCCAAGATCACAGCACTGCACTCCAGCCTGGATGAGAAAGAGAGACCCTGTTCAAAAAAGAGTATATATATATTAGCCTGTACTCACACTGCTAATAAAGACACACCTGAGACTGGGTAATTTATAAGGAAAGAGATTTAATATACTCACAGTTCCACATGGCTGTGGAGGCCTCACAATCATGGTGGAAAACAAAGGAGACACAAAGGCACATCTTACATGGTGGCAGGCAAGACAGCTTGTGCAGGGGAACTCCCATTTATAAAACCATCAGATCTTCTGAGACTCATTCACTACCACAAGAACAGTATTGGGGAAACCGCCCCCATGATTCATTTATCTCCACTTGGCCCAGCTCTTGATACATGGGGATTATTACAATTCAAGGTGAGATTTAGGTGGGACACAGCCAAACCATATCATTCTACCCAAGCCCCTCCCAAATCTCATGTTCTCACATTTCAAAATGAATCATGCCTTCCCAACAGTCCCCAAAAGTCTTAATTCATTTCACCATTAACTCAAAAGTCCACAGTCCAAAGTCTCATCTGAGAAAAGGTAAGTCCCTTCCACCTATGAGCCTGTAAGATGAAAAGTAAGTTAGTTACTTCCTAGATATAATGGTTGTACAGGCATTGGGTAAATACACCCATTCCAAATAGGAGAAATTAGCCAAAACAAAGGGGCTACAGGCCCCTTGTAAGTCCAAAATACAATGGAGCAGTCAAATTGTAAAGCTCTGAAATTATTTCCTTTGACTCCATGTCTCACATCCAGGTCATGCTGATGCAAGAGGTGGGCTACCATGGCCTTGGACAGCTCCATCCCTGTGGCTTTGTAGGGTACAGCCCCACTCCTGCTACTTTCATGGCTGGCATTAAGTGTCTGCAGCTTTTCCATGAGCACAGTGCAAGCTATTGGTGGATCTGAACCATTCTGAAGTCTGGAGGACAGTGACCCTCTTCTTACAGCTCCAGTAGGCAGTGCCCCACTGGGGACACTGTGGGGGCTCCAACCTCACATTTCCATTCTGCACTGCCCTAGCAGAGGTTCTCTATTAGGGCTCTGCCCTTGTAACAGACTTTGGCCTGGACATCCAGGCATTCCCATACAACTTCTGAAATCTAGGCACAGGTTCTTAAACCTAAATTCATGATTTTTGTGCACTGGAAGGCACAACATCATGTGAAATCCACCAAGGCTTGGGGCTTGCACCCTCTGAAGCAACAACCTGAGCTCTACATTGGCCCCTTTTAGCCATGGCTGGGACACAGAACACCAAGTCCTGAGACTGCACAAAGCAGCAAGGCCCTGGGCCTAGCCCATGAAACTATTTTTTCCTCCTAGACATCCAGGCCTGTGATGGGAGGGGCTGGCATGAAGACCTCTGGCATGCCCTGGAGACATATTTCCCATTGTCTTAGGGATTAACATTTGGCTCCTCTTTATTTATGCACATTTCTGCAGCCAGCTTGAATTTCTCTTCAAAATTTATTTTTCTTTTCTATCACATCATTAGGCTGTGTATTTTCCAAATTTTTATGTGCTGCTTCCCTTTGAATGCTTTGCCACTTAGCAATTTCTGCTGCCAGATACCATTAATCATCTCTCTCAAGTTCAAAGTTCCATAGATATCTAGGGCAGGGGCAAAATGCTGCCAGTCTCTGCATAGCAAGACTGACCTTTACTCCAGTTCCCAGCAAGTTCCTCATCTCCATCTGAGACCACCTCAGCCTGGACTTTATTGCTCATATCACTATCAGCATTTTGGCCAAAGCCATTCAACAAGTCTCTAGGAACTTCCAAATTTTCTCACATCTTTCTGTCTTCTGAGCACTCCAAGTCTCTAGGAAGTTCCAAAGTGTCCCACATTTTTCTATCTTCTTCTGAACCCTCCAAACAGTTCCCGCCTCTGCCTGTTATCCACATCTTTACAGCAGCTCCCCACTTCTGGTAAAAAAAAATCTGTATTAGTCAGGGTTCTCTAAAGGGACAGGACTAATAGGATAGATGTATATATAAAAAGGAGTTTATTAAGGAGTATTGACTTACAGGATCACAAGGTGAAGTCCCAAAATAGGCCATCTGCAAACTGAGGAACCAGGAAGCCAGTCTGAGTCCTAAAACCTGGAAAGTAGTAAGCTGAAAGTGCAGCTTTCAGTCTGTGGCCAAAGGCCTAAGAGCCCTTGACAAACCACTGGTGTAGGTACAAGAGTCCAAAAACCGAAAAACTTGGGAGTCCGATGTTCGAGGGCAGGAAGCATCCAGCATAGGAGAAAGATGGAGGCCAGACGACTCAACCAGTCTGCTCTTTCCATGCCTGCTTTTATGCTGGCAGCTGATTAGATGGTGCCCACCCAGATTGAGGGTGGGTCTGCCTCTCCTGTCTACTGATTCAAATGTTAATCTCCTCACAGACACACCCAGGAACCATACTTTGCATTGTCCAATCCAATCAAGTTGACACTCAATATTAACCATCACTATATAAAAATCAGTAAGAAAGAGATACTTTACTTAAAAATTTTTGTTTAGATAATTGGAAAAAATAATTTAGACTCCTACTTCACCCAAAAATAAATTTGAGATGAACATAATTAGGATAATCACATAATATATTGCTTAAACCAGGAATGTTTTTAGTGAGAGTACTAAAAATAATTAAAACTATTTAAGTTTGATATAATTATTTGTAAATACTTGTTTTAAATTATTTTAGTACATTGGTGATTGACAATTTAGTTTTATACGAAAATATTTTCAAAAGTAAAATTCACTCCAAAAATAAAAATAGCATATATTCATGTATTAAGCAGAAAAGTCTTTATATAAATTATCTTAACTGTAACACAAAAGAGAAACAGAATGATTATATTTTGATATTTACATATGTTAACTTTTTTACCTTATAGGTGTCTAAAGCTGTATCATAGGTGCTATTATTCTTTTAAAATGTAATTCTAGTGTTTTTAATTTTTAATTCCCCTTTCTTAAAATTGTCTGCAACATATTTCAAAGTTGTATTCTGGGGATAGTTCTCTATACACAATAGTATTCGTATTAAAAATACTTTCTGGCAAGGTCAGAATGAACTAAATTCACTCAATTATCTCTCTTTTGCTTTCTTCCTTTTTTTTTGTACTACAATATTTTAACCACAGAATTTTGGGGGTGGTTTTTACCTCCCTTTGGAGGCTGTTTGTTTGCCAAATATTTTATGTAAAACAATGAAATTAGTTGCTTTAACTTAAGAATACTTTAAATTTTTAGCAAACTGAGATGTTGCAGAATTATGTCTTATCAATTTTACTCCATTCCCAGAGAGTATAAATATATTTAATTAAATTAGAAGAGCCATCAAAACATTCTTCCCATAAAATAAGAAAATGATATTTCAAAATTAAATCTTGTATACCATTTGAGGTGTCATTTATACTGTTCCTCTGTAGATTTTATAAAGACAAGCTTGTTTGCAAGCACTGTTTTTAAAAGTTTCAGTTTGCCAAAATTCACAAATCCTGAACTAGTTTAGTACTCTTTTTGTAGAATACATGGATTAAAAATTTCCAAAATGATTTTGAATAAAATATTAGCAAACTTTACAAGACAAATTTATAAAAGACAAATTTGTTAAAGTTGAATATGTTTATAGGACATCTAGTCAGATTTACACAGTAGATATTCAAAGGGTTAAATACTTATCTATTTGGTGATGATTAGCAAAGATACAAATCATGCATCTCACAGGCTATAACACAACTAGCAACAGAGTATAACACTTTTATAACACAAAACACTACAAGGAGTTAGTTTTCCCTGGTTCCTTATGTCAGAGAGCACTTCATTGCTAGGATATCCTTAAAAAAGGAGAACTGGTAACACTGCATGTAGAAAGGACTAAGAAAAGAAAGAAGAATTATGATTGGCCATCTTTCAGATTTATCATGGCTTAAAGTTGAGCTCTGTATATTATACTAGAAGATACTAGACAAAGCACTGACAGAAGGTGAAAATTTAAAGAGGGGGCCTGCTGAAGAAATAATGAGTTATTCTAATGAAACTATTAATCATAATACTTCATTATGTAATAAAAAATCTGGGAAAATTCTAAAACATTTGGAACCCTGTTAGGCAGAATGGGACATATGGTCTCCCTAAAGATCTAAATATGTAAAACACAAACTTAAAATCTTTAGAAAAAATGTAGAAAAATATCTATTACTTTGGAGTAGAGACAAATAAATCAAAAAAGAGAAAAAAGCACAAAGTATAAAGAAAATTACTGACAAAAATAAATAAAACAGACCCAATGAAGACGGTGAAAAGAGAAGACACAGACAGCAGAAAGATATTTTCAAAATATATAACAGATAAATTTGGAGTATCCAGGTCATATGAAAACTCCTGCATTCTACATGAAAAACACACAAACATCCCAATTTAAAATGGAATATATATATGTATATCTGTATGTGTATATATGTAGATATTTATGCATATATGTAGTTCTCATTTTTGTATATGTGAATTACAGAGTAAACATCAATGTCAACTAAATATGTGGAAAGATATTCAAATTCACTCATGGTGAGTGCATATTTCTAAAAGTCTGACAATACAAAGTATTGTGAAGGTATGAGTAAAGAGGATTTCTCACATGTAAAATGGTATTACTTTGAGCATAATTTGAAAATATCAATAAAATTGAAAAAGTACCTAATCAGCAATCTAGCATTTCTTCTTCTAAGCATATACCCTAAAGAATCTTTCAGGCGAGTACACAGAGATAAGTACAAACGTGCATTCTATCATTAATTATAATAAGAAATAACTGGAAACAATCTAAATATCTTTTAATCAAAAAATTGATACATAAATTGTGGTTTATTTATAGGGCATAAAACCACATCACTGCAAAGGTTATTACATTTGATTTATACATATATCAATACTACATTATTACAAAAGCAGCATTTATACCACATAAAATGTTTTAAAATTCATTCATGTTAGCACATATAAATCGAGTTCTTTCATTTTAGCTGCTGTAGGATTTCCATAATTATGTAATTTGCATTTTCCACTCAATATTGTTTTAAGATGATATGTAAATCATGATATATTCTGTAGAATTTTAAAACACATAAACCAGTTTTCTACTATTGTGAAAGATGAAAACATATTTGGTAACCTTAGAAACCAAACAGGCATGATACTTTTCAGGATTGTGGCAGAAATTAGAAAGGAAAGTGAGAGAATGAAATGGGAGAGGGGTACAAAGTGTCATGAGCTCAGTCTATAATGTTTTCTTTCTTAAAAAAATAAAATAAGGGGAAGAGGAAGAGATTTGAAGCAAATATGACAAAAATCTGTTCAATCTGGATGGTAGGTATTGACAAAGATTCTCTGCTTAAACAAACTTTAGTCAGGATCCTGACCCTTCTCCTAGGCCCATCTGTGCACTTCCTTGTAGAATGCAAATTTTAGCAAAGAGCCATACTAAGTCAGTTTAGTATGAAACCCCCACTCTTAGTATCCAATCACCATCAGTATTTGATTGGGTTTCTCATCCTCCACCATCCCCCAGGTGATGTCTGATTACCCTGGCCTGTCTTCAGCAAAGTTGGCTTACCCAGAATCTCCCTTACCCATGATGTCTCCTTTTAGTAATTTTCCAACCACTGACCCCCCTCCTGCTCCTTGACTATAAGTTCCCACTTGCTCATGCTTTATTTGGAGTTGGGACAAATCTCTCTCCCACACTGCAAAATCCTATTCTGGTGGTCCCTATACAGATCACAGTGGTCCAGAATTAACTCTTTCTTACCATGCTTTACCAAGTATCATTGAATAATTTTTTCTTTAACAGTACATAGGTGTTTTATTATTCTCTGTGTTTTTCCGAATGTTTGAAATATTTCATTGTGTTTCAAACATTTTCGTATGAAAAATTTTTATTACTCAAATCAAGAATAAAACTATATATTCTGACATCTCCCTATGTAATAGGATATTAGTGTTCCCTTTTTAAGAAATATCTGCCCTTCGACCATTTTTAACATTGGGCTTTGTTTTAAATACTGAATTTCGGATTGCACTTATTCTTATAAAGTAATAATTTTACATCTTGAGGTTTCTTTTCCAAAACAGTTTTTAAAAATATTTGCACAATTGCCTCACTGTTTAAATGGTCTTCATGAATGTTGCTAACAATTTTATACCTTGCTTCTCATTCATCAGTTCTTAATTTTGATATGTTTCATGAATGGCTGGTAAATTTTTCAAATAATTCTATTTTCAGAAATAATACAAGGTTTCTACAATTTCTAAGTCCTTGCATTTATAAGAGTATATTTCTATTTCTGTCTTACATGAACAGCAACATGGCTAGACATATAATTCAGGGGTTAGGCTGTTTTCTCCTCAAAATGCTATACAGTTGACCATCATTTACTAACCTTTAGGAATACAGAGAAGTGTTAAGCCAGTTTAATTTTTGTTTATTAAAGACTCTTAGTTTGTCTTCTGCTGCAAGCTTATAGTTTATGTTCTGTTATTTTGCAATTCAAGAAAGTTTTCCAGGATTGGCATTAATTTCTTTTATCATTAATTTTGCTTAGACCGTGGTGAACTTTTTGATGGGTATAATTTGCTCTGTTTCATCTTCAGGATGTTTCCTCCATTTATATTTCACATGTTTAAATGTATTCCATTTAAGTGTTTTGGTTTCTTCCTTAGGAACATAAATATTTAATTTAATATTAAATTTCCATTGTATTGTCTTTCCATGGAGAATATTGTTTATTACCATTTTAACTCATTATCTTATTTTATCCATCTCTGAGCTTTCCACGTTTCTACTCCATATTACTTGATTTGTTTTCTCTAATGTCAGTATTATATCTTACTTCCACAGCAGCTTTTAATTTTGAGATTGCATTTTTGTATCTGTGATACTTTGTCTTACCTGAACAAACCTCATATTCATTTAAGCCTTTGCAGCCATACCCAGCTCTCCAAGTTTTCTAACAAAGCAAATGTTGGGAATAGTTTTATTTCTGCTTAATCTCCATTTGGTTGCTATTAGCATCATTATCTGACACCTCCACCCCTGGCATGGAATCGAGAATATTTGGTGATGTTATCTTTACCCAAATTTCCCAATGCCTAGTGGCACTCACTGTTATACTCTGATTGACCAGATAGAATCTTCTCCTGTTCTCATGACAAGGATCTCAGGCACTTTCAGTCAGTGCAGTAGGTAAAAATCTAATATTCCCATAATTCCTTACTGTTGCCAGGTTTTTGTCTCTTCCCTCATAAGTACACAACTTATTCAAAGGTGCAATATGCCATTTTTAGCAAATTCCTCCACTATTTATTGGAAAATATAATATTAGAACATAGAAAGGTAAGTAACAGTGGGGGAAGAATAAACTGGGTTCTCCTGGAAGAAGTACTCATGCAGTTTTAAACAGGCTGGTCAATCATCACTGTTTAAAATAAACCTACCCAAATATGTCTATTGTGAGATAGAATCCAGAGAAAAAAGAATAGCTAAAATTTCCTTCTATCTACTTCTTGGGTAACAGACTGCTATGTCTCAGAGAATGTGTAAGTTAAATTTATGCCTCTCAATGAACTCTTTGATATTGTTTTTAAGCATCTTTATTGAAATATAGCTGATATACAAAGAACTGTACCAATTTAAAGTACATAATTTGATGAGTTTTTATGTGTGCAAACACCCATAATGCCATCACCACAATCAAGGAAATAGATCTAACATGTTCCAAAGTTCTCATGTCCCTTTGTTTTGTTGTGGTTGGTTTGGCTTGCTTGTTTAGTTTGTTGTTGTTATTGTTGTTATTTTGGTGAGAACACTTAACATGAGATCTATACTTAACAAATTTTGAAGTGCACAATGCTGTATTATTAACTATAAACACTATGCTGTACAGCAGTTCTCTCAAACCTGTTCATCTGGCATAACTGAAACTTCATATTCACTGAACACCAACTCCCCATTTCCCTATCCCCAACTCCTGGCAACCACTAATTTATTCTCTGTTTCTCTGAGTTTGACTATTGTACATTACTCATGTAAGTGGAATCCTCTGTTGTAAGTCTGACCTGAGGTGCTTTGGTATTTGTATTAGTCCATTTTCACACTGCCATAAATAACTGCTTGAGACTGGGCAATTTGTAAAGGAAAGAGGTTTAATTGACTCACAGTTCAGTATGGCCTCAGGAAAATTACAATCATGGCAGAAGGCAAAAGGGACGCAAGGCACCTTCTTCACAAGGTGGCAGGAAGGAGAATGAATGTAGAAGGAACTACTACCATGCACTTATAAAACCCTAAGATCTCCTGAGAACTCACTATCACAAGAACAGCACAGGGGAAATTCCCCCCATTATTCAATTACCTCCCCCTGGTCTCTTCCTTGACACGTGGGGATTCAGAGGATTATCAGGATTAAGGGGATTACAGTTCAAGAGGAGATTTTGGGTAGGAAAACAGCCAAACTATATCAGTATTCTTTATTAATAGAAGTCACTTCTGGATTTTAACATGAACTTGCCTGTCCAGCCTTTGTTTTTGGTTCTATTCTTTTTCACTTTTTTCTATAAGTTCACAGAAACCTTTGGGAGAGCCGATGTAGGGGCCTAGTAATTTGACTCCTGCTCAAACAATAAATCCAAATTATTAACTAGTAAACTAATTTGCATATGCTTTAAAAAAATAACTGATATATTTTAAAAGTAAACTGGTCCAAAAGCAGAATTTTAAATAATTTCTACAAAGCAGATATATCCTCTCTGCTTGTATGTTCAAATCATGATCAAACTATGCTTTTGTTTCTGTAACTCCAGATATTTGAAATTGTAGAAAAAAAATTGATGAAAATCTGTGAAAATTTCAAATTCAAATTTATTAAAATAATGTAGGTGTTTAAACATATTAGTAATAAGCATTGATATGCTTTGCTATGTCCCCACCCAAATCTCATCTTGAATTATAATCCCCACAATCCCCAGGGTCATATGAGGGACCCAGTGGAAGGTAATTGAATCATGGAGGCAATTTCCCTCATGCTGTTCTCCTGATAGTGAGTGAGTTCTCATGAGATTTGATGGTTTTATAAGCATCTGGCATCTCCTCTGCTGGCACTCATTCTTTCTCCTGTTGCCCTGTGAATAGGTGCCTTCCACCACGATTGTAAGTTTCCTGAGGCTTCCCCAGCCATGCGGAACTGTGAGTCAATTAAACCTCCTTTCTTTATAAATTACCCAGTCTCAGAAATTTCCTTATACCAATGTGAGAACAGAGTAATACAGGCATTATATCAATAGGTATGGTCATATCATGATATAGATTCTATTACAAATGATATACATATATACACACACATATATATATACACACACTCTTAACTACATACTCATGAGAATTTTACAATTCAACTTTTCAAATTTATTAAGCAAACATTTAATATACCCTATGTGCTCTGAGAACTGAAAAGATGAAAGAGATAAAGTAGATAATTAGAAGTTTTTAATATTTTTACTACTGTGAGAAATGATGAAAAGAAGGAATGCAGTTTCCATTCACTAAGTCATTTTGTTTGCAAATATTTGATGCCTATAGTGTGCCAAGTACTGTGCTAGCACTGTACCTGGTACACAGTGGGAAGAAAATATAGTCGCTCCCATCATGGGGGAGGAATGGGACTGGGAAGGAGGGAAAGGCACATATTGAGAGTCATCAGAGAAGTGTTACTACTAAGATGATATATAAAAGATGTAAAAACCCAGCAGAAGAGAAAGACTCTGATTTAAGGAAAAGCATAGCATAGCATAGGAGTCAAATGCAGCCTAAAGAGTAGGGATTGGGAGAGTCATAGTGGATGCAGTTGAAAAAGCAGCAGGAGTCAGACCATACATGGCCACATAGGCCAAGAGAAAGATGCTGGCATTCTTCTTAAAGTGTAATAGGAAGCCATTGAAGAATTTTAAGCAAGTAATGAGATGTATTTTGTAGTATAGCAGAGGGATACTTTAAAAAAAACTATAACGTAGATATGCATAGGTTTAAAAGGTAAGATGGACTATTTCACAGAAAACTAGAAACTGTAAGAATCCAGAAGGAGAGTGTAGAATTGAAAAACACAAAAATTAAAATAAGATTAGACAAAGCTGAGAAGGGAAGTAGTCAACAAAGCATAAATCAGAAGAACATTTCCAGATCGAAGCACAGAGACAAAAAGATGAAAAAATAATGAAGGAGCGTATGACACACATAAGATACCTAAATTTGAAGAAGAGAGGAGACAGTTCTGTAGGAGAAGCAACATTTGAAAAGATGGCAGCAAAGAATTGTTTGGGTGATGTTTCAAACTAAAGACATCAGATCACAGATAACAAAGCCCTAACTAGGGTGAATCTTAAAAATATCACATCCAAGCACGTTACTGTGAATCTGCTGAAAATAAAAGGCAAAGAATAAATCTATAAAGCAGCCAATTCTGGTAATAATAAAATCATATCACCTGCAAAGATACAACAAGATTGATAGTTAATTTTTCACAGAAAAACACAAATGAAGTCAATGGTAACAAAATGATATCTCTAAATGTGGAAAGAAAATGATTGCCAACCTAAAAGTAAAGATTGCCATCCAAATGAAAGGAAAATGAAGACGTTTTCAAAAATGAAAACAGAGTATTCCTGAGCATCAGTCCCACATTAAATGGCAGGTTTCAAGGTGAAGGAAAAAGGTAACAGAAGTTCAGAGATATGGGAAGGAATGAAGAGTAATGGGAAGGGAAAATAAATAGGCAAACACATAATCAAGAAAAGGTGAATGTCTAGAAAACTGAAAAAAGCACTAATCACAGTGACCACAACATATAACCCACACATGTTGTAATCTCTGGAGAGCCTACTAAAAAATCATAGAAGTATAAAACTAGAAAACTAATGGAAAGCAAACTTGGAATAAAAAAAGTGTTTAATCTATCAAAAAGCAGACAAGAAAAAAGACAAGTGAAAAAAAATAAATCAGTTAGAAAACAAAAGGTAAAATTGTAAATTTAAAAACGAAAGCAGTAGTAATCTTAATAAAATTACATATTTTTAAGTACTTAAAAATACTTTTGAGGTGCCATTTAAGAAGCTAATAATCTATTTCTTAATAGGTTGTGGTTTCTCAATTTGTCTATTCATTTTGTTATGTTTTATAAAACTTTTTGTATAACTTAATGTTATCTTTAAAATATATTTATTAAAATTGTAGAAGAAATTGAATAATCCCTCTGCAGTTTACTGGAGAGTTGGATTTTTTTTTAAACCCAACTATTTATTGGTTAGAAGAGGCAATCTTATCTTGGGATAGTTGTGTTATCACTGAAATTGAATACATAGCTCAGAAACATCACATATACAAGGAAATTTGGTTTATGATGAAAGTGGTACTGCAAGGAAGTATAGAGTCTTTAATTATTGGTGTTGCATCAGTTGGACATTGGCATGACAGGAAAACAGTTGACTCCCCCCTTCTCACATCATATACAAAAGTCAATTCTTAGCTGATTGTAGATCTGGATATGAAAGGAAAAGCAAAATATCTTCTAGATGATAATATAGAAGACTATCTTAATCACTGTAGTACTTGGCAAACATATCCTACATTTAACTACATTAAAATTAAGAATGTCCTCAGAGGACATCAATAAAGGCACTTATTGATACACCACTGAGTGAAACAAGATTGTTGAAGCACATAAAGCTCACAAAAGGCTCTAATCAGAATATATAAAGAATGCCACATTTACAAAATTATAGACAATTTCATCTCTCAAAAATAGGTAAGTAACACGAGTAGGTATTTCAAAAATGATGTGATATATACAAATGGCCAATAAACTTTTTACCCAATTCTTGATGATGGGATTGGATTAAAAAAATGCTGCTACATACAAAATGACTAAAATTCAAAACATCTACAACATTGAGTGTTGGCAAGGCAGTGGAGCAACTGGAATTCTCAGACATTGGTGATACAAGTGTAAACTGGTGCAGTCACTTTGGAAAACTGGCTATATCTGCTGAAGTTAACACATCCCACCCACAGCCCATCCTACCTTTTCACCCTGCAAATCTGCTTCTGGGTATATATGCACAGAAGATAAATGTATATGCACAAAATACTTGTACAGAATGTTTAAAGCAGCATTATTTGCTATAGTCCCAAACTAAAGACAGCCCAAATGGCTGTCAGCAGTAGCAAGGAAAAAGTACTTTTGGGGGCCTTCTAAGAAGCTAATAATATTCTATTACTTGATAGGTTGTGGTTGCTCAATGTGTCTATTCGTTTTGTTATGTTTTCTAAAACTTTTTGTATAAATTAGTGTTATCTTTAAAATATATTTCTTTAAATTTTAGAAGAAATTGCAATAATCCCTCTGCAGGTTACTGAAGAATTGGACTAATTTTTTATCAGTGGAGATGGAAAGGAGAGACTGGGTTTTGAGACTATATTTTATACAAAAAAATAGAAGCTACAAGAGGCGTCCCTGGATTGCACGAGGGAGAGGGGAAATAATGTAAATTTTGTTTCTTAGTTTTAATAGTATTAACCATAACATTGTCCACTTACTTTCAGACAAAAGAGAAAAATGTTATTCTGTGTCAGTAGTCATTTCTCCACTTCTAAATAGAGTTAAGGTTTTAGAGAACTCCTAAAGTATATATTTTTCATTTTAGTGCATTTTAACTTTGTTTTATAATAATATATTATTCTCCTTGGTATAGGTGAGATTGAAAAAGAGGCAGCAAGATATAATTAGAGAAGCCTCCCTTTCAGCAGTTCACACTAGAACTCAGAAAGAATGTCCCAGATATTACACAGAAAATCAAGGGAAGTTTCAAATCAGTTTTCACATTCAAAACTACCAGGAAGTTTACATAAGCTTTAGGATGACCTTAAATTTCAATTTAAATAATTCCAACTGTAAAAAAAAATAAAAATAAAAAGAGATTTAAAGTTGTTCACTTTACCTCTTAATGAAAGTGACTGTGATAAAAGAGACTAGGTAGAATTTTTGAAACCAGAAACTGAAACATTGATTTGTATGTCAAGGGAGATGAGAGGGCTGTTTCTCAACCACTTTAACATACCACTCTCAAATTTCCTGTGAGACCCTTAGCCGATCATGTCAAAATGGAATTGTTTTTCTTTCACTTTCACAAGGTACTTATGGGCTACTCAAAATACATTCTAACATCCTGTACAGCAGATTTCCAGTCCCATTGCAGTGGCAGTAATGATGGAAGGACCAGAAGGGGAGCCTGAGATCAGTGCATTTGGTGAACTGTATGTTGTGTTCCAGATTGGTGTCTCAGGAGAGGAACAATATCCAGGATTGATTCTTAGACTTACATAATATGCCCTGCAATATTTAGGAAAGGATGACACTCTGTATAGGATTGGAGAAGCAACTGGAAGACTGAGCATATGAGCTAGTAAGAGTATGTCTGCCATGGTTGGAGAAGGCAGGAACAACTCATTTTCACCAATATAAATATAGAATCTGGAAGGTGTGCTGAGAAAAATGTCCCATCCTATGCAGTTCTAGATTACTAAAATCTTCAGAAATGAAAGGAAAGAAACTATGTGATAGATATAGCACTTCTGGGTAAAAAAAAGAAATGTTTAATGTCATTTGAATTTTTATCCTAAGAAAGCAAATGAGACTCTCACAAAGAAGATGCTGCTGCTCCTTGTAATTTTTAAAAAATATATCATTTGGTGGCATGTGTTTAAATATGTTTAATAAAGAAACCTTAATTCATTGAATAAATATTGACCTTTGCTCTTCAAAAGGTTTAAGAGAAGCATTATATTAGTCCATTCTCTCATTGCTATAAAGAAATGCCTGATACTGGGTAATTTATAAAGAAAAGATGTTTAATTGGCTCACAGTTCCACAGACTGTACAGGAAACATGGCTGGAGAGGCCTCAGGAAATTTTCAATCATAGCGGAAGGCAAAGAGAAAGCAGACATGTCTTACATGGCCAGAGCAGGCAAAAGAGAGAGAGGGGGATGTGTCACGCACATTTTTTTGTTGTTGTTGTTCTTTGCTTGTTTGTTTGGAGACAGTGTCTTGCTGTATCAATCAGTCTGGAGTGCAGTGGCGGATCTCACCTCACCACAACCTCCGCCTCCCAGGTTCAACAGATTCTCCTGCTTCAGGCTCCCCAATAGCTGGGATTACAGGCACCCGCCACCACGCCTGGCTAATTTTTGTGTTTTTAGTAAAGATGGGGTTTTGCCATGTTGCTCAAGCTGGTCTCGAACTCTTGGCCTCAGGTGATCCACCTGCCTTGGCCTCCCAAAATACTGAGATTCCAGGCATGAGCCACTGTACCCGGCTATGTGCCACACACTTTTAAACAACCAGATCTCCCAAGCATTCACTCACCATCATGAGAGAAGCACCCTGAGGGAAATCGGCCCCCATGAGCCAATCATCTCCCACAGGCCCCAACTCCAACATTGGGAATAACAATTCAACATGAGACTTTTAGGGGAACACAGACTTAAACAATATCAAGCATAAAACACTTTCTCCTTAATCTTAAGGTTTTAAGTATGATGACAAACGTAAATCAAGATAATATTTAGGGTGAAGGTTTTGATGCTGATGTTAATTTTTGTATTTTTTAAATTTATGTGAATGGCATGGTTATATATTTCTACTGTTGGCAAAATTAAGTTATTTTCTCTGTGAATATTTGAAAACCACTGATACTCTCGTTTTAAATGATAGTATGGTGTAAAACAGGAATGATTACTCAATTTTGATTTGAAATATGTCTATGCCCTACAGATTTTGGATGTCATAAAGGAGAAATAAGAATGAGTACACTGGAGTCAGAGTAGTTGCTCTATTTAGGTGGCAAAGATAGTGAATGTTCCTAAAGGACTTGGATGCAAGGATGTAAAGTACACTCACCAGCAGATTGTTTCTTAGTTATTCTTAGAAGAAACATATGTGCTATCAAGGCCTGCCAGAAAATAATTTACATAGTTCTCTACAGCAGTAGGAAGCACTGATTTTCAATTGCAAACCAATACAATAAAAGAGAAAAATTAGATTAAGAATGAACATAAACATTTAAAAATATGTTCTCTTAAGAAAATATATTGGTTAATATTTTTCATTTGTGGTTGATATTTTAAAATGTTTTAAATTTTAAAATAAATGAACAATCTTCAATCATTTTTGAAATTGTGTGTTAGCTAAAGATATTATAAAGATAAAACATACCTTAATTTTGAGCTTAAAATTTTACTGTAAAATACATGCATTTTTAGGGCACTAAACACTTTCCTTTTAATTACTTATTTATAATTGAAAAATAAACATTGTATATATTTATGTACAACATGCTGTTTTAAAATATATATATACTGTGGATACAGCTAAATAGAGCGAATTAACCTCATATGTCTTTTTTTGTGGTGAAAACACTTCAAATCTATTATTTTAGCAATTTTCAATACAGAATTATGTATTTTAAATATAGAAATTGCAACTGGAGAAAGGGAAATATTTTAATATTAATTTTTAGTTTAAATTAATATTAAAATATGGTTAAAAACTCTTCAATTTCCATATAATTGTATGTGAAATTCAGTTTTATAATAACCTCATTACAAGTCTAGGCAGTGTAGTGACTAGGATTCAATTTCCAAACCAAATTTCGTTAATACCAATAATGAGTGCCTGCTATGTAAGAAATCACAGTACAAAGTAATTTACTATGTTTAAAAAAATCAACCCTCAAAACAACGCTGAGAAACCAATATAATGTCCAGTTTCAACAATGATGAATCTGACGTTCTGTGTAACTAAATTACTTCACAATGTTATTGCTATTAAACTTCAAAACAAGAATTAAAACTGCATTTTCTGATTCCAAATAAATGTACGATAATTTTCAATGGTAATGAAAATCTATTTTGATGAAACTATAGATGAAGATATATTAGTAAACGATTTTGTAAACTTTAAATTCTCCATCTTCAATACCTCTTTTGGATGCAACTGGCATTAGTAAAATAAATGAATGATCAGATAGTTGTAGATATGCGGCGTTATTTCTGAGGGCTCTGTTCTGTTCCATTGATCTATATCTCTGTTTTGGTAAACCTGAGAAAAACAAGCAATGGGGAAAGGATTCCCTATTTAATAAATGGTGCTGGGAAAACTGGCTAGCCATATGTAGAAAGCTGAAACTGGATCCCTTCCTTACACCTTATACAAAAATCAATTCAAGATGGATTAAAGACTTAAACATTAGACCTAAAACCATAAAAACCCTAGAAGAAAACCTAGGCATTACCATTCAGGACATAGGCATGGGCAAGGACTTCATGTCTAAAACACCAAAAGCAATGGCAACAAAAGACAAAATTGACAAATGGGATCTAATTAAACTAAAGAGCTTCTGCACAGCAAAAGAAACTACCATCAGAGTGAACAGGCAACCCACAAAATGGGAGAAAATTTTCACAACCTACTCATCTGACAAAGGGCTAATATCCAGAATCTAAAATGAACTCAAACAAATTTACAAGAAAAAAAAAACAACCCCATCAAAAAGTGGGCGAAGGACATGAACAGACACTTCTCAAAAGAAGACATTTATGGAGCCAAAAAACACATGAAAAAATGCCCATCATCACTGGCCATCAGAGAAATGCAAATCAAAACCACAATGAGATACCATCTCACACCAGTTAGAATGGCAATCATTAAAAAGTCAGGAAACAACAGGTGCTGGAGAGGATGTGGAGAAATAGGAACACTTTTACACTGTTGGTGGGACTGTAAACTAGTTCAACCATTGTGGAAGTCAGTGTGGCGATTCCTCAGGGATCTAGAACTAGAAATACCATTTGACCCAGCCATCCCATTACTGGGTATATACCCAAAGGACTATAAATCATGCTGCTATAAAGACACATGCACACGTATGTTTATTGCGGCATTATTCACGATAGCAAAGACTTGGAACCAACCCAAATGTCCAACAATGATAGACTGGATTAAGAAAATGTGGCACATATACACCATGGAATACTATGCAGCCATAAAAAATGATGAGTTCATGTCCTTTGTAGGGACATGGATGAAATTGGAAATCATCATTCTCAGTAAACTATTGCAAGAACAAAAAACCAGACACCGCATATTCTCACTCATAGGTGGGAATTGAACAATGAGATCACATGGACACAGGAAGGGGAATATCACACTCTGGGGACTGTGGTGGGGTGGGGGGAGGGGGGAGGGATAGCATTGGGAGATATACCTAATGCTAGATGACGAGTTAGTGGGTGCAGCGCACCAGCATGGCACATGTATACATATGTAACTAACCTGCACAATGTGCACATGTACCCTAAAACTTAAAGTATAATAAAAAATAAATAAATAAAAATAAAAATAAATGAATGAATTTAACAGTGACATGAGCCTTATAAGCCAAATTGGTATAAGCATTCCAAAATAGTAAATGCAATTTCTCTTTCTTAAGATCCTTTCCATATTATATCGTTTTACTGAACAAAATATTGAAAATTATTTAGAATATGTGATTTCTCTACACTAGAGAAAATATTAAAATTCTTAAAATAGGCCAGGCACAGTGGCTCACGCCTGTAATCCAACACTTTGGGAGCCAAGGCATGTGGATCTCTTGAGCTCAGGAGTTTGAGACCAGCCTGGGCAGACAGGTGAAATGCAGTCTCTAGAAAAAACACGAAAATTAGCCAGGCATCATAGTGTACACCTGTGGTCCCAACTACTCGGGAGGGTGAGGTGGAAGAATCACTTGAACCCAGGAGGTTGAGGTTTCAGTGAGCCATGAGTGTGCCACTGCATTCCAGTCTGGGTGGCAGAGAAAGACCCTGTCTAAAAAAAAATTAAAAATTCTTAAAATATTTCTTTGTTCTTTACAAAGTTTTATATAATCTAAATGTATTCCTGAATGAATATTCAATTTAATTCATTTCAACACACATTTATTGAGTCAACCATATGCCAAGGACTCTACCAGACACTTCAGGGAGTACAGTAGACTCCCTTATTCATGGAAGATATGTTCCAAGATGCCCAGTGGATGCCTGAAACTGCATAGTACCAAATCCTACATATACTATATATACATATCTATGATAAATTAATCTTTATCATATATGTATATATAGTAAAAAACAGTTGTTTATTTAAAACAACAATAATAACAATAATAAAATGGAACAATTATAACAATACACTGTAATAAAAACTTACATGATTCTGGTTTTCTCTGTCTTTCAAAATGCCTTATTGTACTCTACTCACCAATTTTTGGACCATGGTTGACAGTGGGTGACTGAAATTGTGGGTAGCAAAACCGTGAATAAGGGGGGACTACTATACAAAGATAAGTAAAACCATTCCTATACTGAAGATGTCTTGTTATGTCATATACAGAGTTAGACACCATGAGGTGTAGCAAAGAGCAGCTGCTATGGAATTGAGATCTTATCAAAAATACTAGAAGTCATGCAATGCTGAGGAATCTTGAGTAGAGTTGAGAGATACTGCTGAGCTTTGTGTCTCCAAGTAAAGTCCTAGAAGGCCATTGTTTAGACTAAGGACCACAAATTAGGACCTAGGACAAATGGAAAATAGACCACCCTAATAAACATAAAACAAAGCTTGACAGAATAAAGAAATATACTAGCAAATTAACTGTAAGTCAAAATAAAATCCAAAACACTTCAAAAGAATAATAAATAATACAGATTCTCTAGAAAATAAAATTGTGTCCAGCATAAAATCCAAAATTACCAAACACAAAAGAAACAGAAAATGGTGTTTTGAATTAATACACAAGGGCTTTAAAACTGCTATTATAAATATGTTTAATGACATAATGGAGAAAATAGACATACTCAATGAACAGATATGGAAGCTAAGCCAAGAAATAAAAAAGAAAAAAGAATCAAAAGGGAAATTATAGAAGTAAAAAGTGTAAGTGCTGAAAATTAAAACAGGATGGGATTTGTAGTAATAGGGCACTACAGCAGTAAGACTCAGTGAACTTGAAACCAAATTAATATAAATTATTCAAACTGAAGAAATAGAGATAAAATGACTAAAATAAATATATAGAGCCTCATTGAGATGTGTTTCTCAAATTTGGAGAATTTGCAAATTCCATTACTATTATTATTATCACCATCATTATTAGAAGTGAGGTCTCACTCTGTCACCCAGGGTGAAGTACAGTAGAACAATCACAACTCACTGTGGCCTTCAATTCCTGGGCTTAAGAGATCCTCCTGCCTTAGCCTACCAAGAAGCTGGGACTATAGAATTCACCACACCACCTGACTACTTTTTTTTCTTCAGTAGAAACAGCATCTTGCCGTCTTGCCTAGGCAAGCCCCAAACTCTTGGGCTCAAGTGATCTTCTGGCCTTGGCTTCCCCAAGTGCTAGGATTACAGGCATGAGCCACCTTGCTCAGCCCAAGCATTATGTTTTTCAACTATGTTTCTGCCCTATTCTCTCTGTCTTATATTTCTAAGAATTAAATTTTCCTTTGTTCATGGAAATTTATTTAGAAGACATGACTGTTTAAAGCAAAAAAAATTCTGTATTCCCAAATTTTTAGGTTGTAACACATGTAGTATTATGTATAACAACAGAAAAGGGGAGGGGTTGAAGTATAATGGTGCAAATTCCTATACATAGCTGAAGTAAGTCAGCAGTAACTTAAAAAAAATTGTGGCAAATTAAAAATGCATAATGTATTCGTTAAAGCTTTACATTAAAAATAAATATAACTAAAATGTCAATAGGAAAATTAAAAAAGCATACTAAAACTATTTTGTTAACACCAACAAAGGTGATAACAAACTAATACAGGAACAAAAAGTGAGATGTAGTGAACAAAAAACAAATAGCAAGAGGTAGACCTAAGCACAACATTTTCAATAATTATGTTACATGTAAATAGACAAAATTGACTAATTAATAGAGATGGTCAAACAAGATTTAACAAATAAGATCCCATAATATGCTGTTTACAATAGATAAAATTTAAGTTCAAATGCATAAATTAGTTGAAAAATAAAAAGATAAACCACGAACACAGTAAGCATTAGAGAGTTGGAGTGACTATATTAATATCAGAAAAACTGTGCTTTAAGATAAAAACAATTCTAGAGACAAAACAAGACTTTTTCTCATAATAATAGATGAATTAATGCATATACATTTAGCAGTCAAACATTGATATATTCCTGGAAACCTGAAAGATTGCATGCATGCAGAATGTAGGCCCAGGTCCTTTCTTGGTCATTCTTTCCCAGAATGATCCAGTCACTCAACTCTGGCTGAATGTGAGGTCATACAAAAGCAGGAAGTGAAAGCTTAGCTTGTCCTGTAAACTACTGAAGTATGAGGCATGAATTCTCACACAGATTCTCTTGGCAAAGAGTGGAAGACATATAGGAAAAGCTTTTAAACAAGTATTCCAATCAATAATTTGATGACCACTAAAGTATACTAGCTCAGAGGTGAACGCTAAGAAGCAAAGCTTAAAAAGAAAAAGGAAAAGAAAGCTAGCAGTGATCTTGGTGGCCCAAACATTGCAGGAAAGATAAAATCTACAAAATAACTTCAGACAGGATGCTAAAGAAGTAGGTAGTAACAAGAAAAAAAAACAAACAAAAAAAGGAAAAACCAGCAACATCAAAAAACTGTAAGTGGAGAGAGATATCTAATACCAGAAATGATACAATATATCATTTCAAAAGAGAAAGTATTAGAAAACAGTGAATGATAAAACAACTTATTACATATAAGTAGTCCTGGTTAGATTAATAAATGAGTTCTCATCAGAAACCATGGAGGTCAAAGAACAGTTGGCTGATGGGGAGACATCTTCAAAAATTTCAAAAGAATATGACAGTTAAGCTCTCCTTCAACATTAGGATAGCTTAACGAAGCTCTCCTTCAACATTAGGAAGAAATTAGGACATTCCAGATAAACAAAAACTGAAAGAATGTATCAGTAAAAGAGCTTCCCTACAAAAAATACTAAAGGGAATCTTTCAGGCTGAAAAATAATAATAGTGAAAATAAGTGAACACTAGATAATTACTGACACCCATAGTAAGAAATAAAGAGTACCTAAAAAGGTAAATATATAGGCAAATACAAAAGAGAATATAAATATATTTTTATTTGTAGTTCTTTTTTCTACCATCTACTTTTAAAGACATCAGTATAAAATAATAATTATAAAATTATATTGATCAGCTTATATGTAATGATGTAAATTATAGAAAATAATAGTACAAAGGAAAGGTGAGGAAAGGAGGTTTATTAGAAGATTGTAGTATTGAAATTAAGCTAGTATCAGTCCAAAATAGATTGTTTTAAGTTAATATGATAGCTGCCAGGACATACATAGGGATAATATTTCAAAAATATATACAGTAAAATAAACAACAAAGTACACTATAGATTATCGACTTAATGCAAAGAAGGAAGTTACTACACAAAAGAGTGTAGAAATTATAAAGGCATAAGGGCTATGAAAAACAAACAGGAAAATGGCAAACGTAAATCCTACCCCCTCAGTAATTACATTACATGTAAATGCATTAAAAACTCTAATCAAATGACAGACTAATATTAACATTTCACATATTTCAACTATTGTGTCTATAAGAAAACACTTTAGCTTTAAAGATATAACTTGTTTGAAGACTAACAGAAAAAAAAGACATACTATGTAAGCAGTACCATAAATAATCTAGAGTGGATACATTAATATCAGATAAAATATACTTTAAGACAGAAAATGTTCCTAGAAACTAAGAAAGACATTTTATAGTAAAAAGAGTATAAATCAAATTAGAATATATAAAAATTATAAACATATGTGCACCTAAAAACAGAACCGCAAAATACGAGAAGAAAAACCTAAGAAAATTGTACAGAAAAATAGACAATTCAACAGTAATATTTGAAGAGATAAATAACCCACTTCCAAAAATAGATAGAATGACTAGTAAAAAATCAACAACAAAATGAAATATTTAACCCAACTCTAAATCAACTAAACTTTACAGATATCTATGTAATGCCCAACAACAGAAGAATAAACATTTCTCTCAAGATCATATGGAACATTCTCCAAAATAAATTATTTACTAGGCTATAAAACAAGACTCAATGAATTTAAAAGACTGAAATTATGCAATGGATGCCCTCTAACAGCAATGGAATTAAATTAGGAATCATCAACATAAATAAATTTGAGAAATTCACAAATATGTGGAAACTAAAATAACACATTCCCAAATAACCAATGAGCCAAAGAAGAAATCAAAAGGAAATTAGAAAATACTTTCAGATGAAAGAAACTAAAATACAATGTATCAGAACTTATGGGATGCCACTTAAGCAGTGCTTAAAAGTAAATTTATCAAGGTAAATATCTATTTTTTTTTAAAAAAGATTGTAAATCAATAAACTAAACTTCTACCTTAAGAAACTAGAACATAGCCAGAGGCATCACACTACCTGATTTCAAAATATACTACAGAGCTACAGTAAGCAAAATAGCATGGTACTGATACAAAACAGACACACAGATGATGGAATAAAAATATAAAACTCAGAAATAAAACCACACACATACCACCATCTGATCTTTGACAAGGCTGACAAAAACAAACAATGGAAAAAGGACTCCCTATTCAAAAAAATGGTGCTGGAATAAATGGCTAGCCATATGGAAAAACTGAGGCTGTATTCCTACCTTTCAACATATATAAAAATTAGCTTAAAATAGATGAAAGATTTAATGTAAGACCTCAAACTATAAAAATCCTAGAAAACAACCTAGGAAATAGTCTTCTCAACATTGGCCTTGGCAAAATATTTTTGGCTAAGTCCCCAAAAGCACTTAACAACAAAAACAAAAATAGATGAGTCAGACCTAATTTAACTACAGAGCTTCTGTACAGCAAAAGAAACTATCAACAGAGTAAACAGGCATCCTACAGAATCGGAGAAGGTATTCACAGACTGGGCATCCAACAAAGGCTAATATCCAGAATTTCTACAGAACTTAAATCAACAAGCAAAAAACAAATAACCTCATTACAAAATGGGCATAGGACAAGAACAGACACTTTTCAAAAGAAGACATAAAAGTGACCAACATGCCAGGCATGGTGGCTCACGCCTGTAATCCCAGCACTTTGGGAGGCCAAGGCGGGCAGATCACAAGGTCAGGAGATTGAGACCATGGTGAAACCCCATCTCACTAAAAATACAAAAAATTAGCAGGGCGCAGTGGCGGGCACCTGTAGTCACAGCTACTCGGGAGGCTGAGGCAGGAGAATGGCATGAACCTGGGAGGCAGAGCTTGCAGTGAGCGGAGATCACACCACTGCACTCCAGCCTGGGCGACAGAACAAGACTCCGTCTCAAAAAAAAAAAAAAAATGTGACCAACAAACATATGAAAAAATGTTTAGCATCATTAATCATCAGAGAAATGCAAATTAAAACCATAAAATCACAAAGATACTATCTCACACCAATTGTTATTATTAAAAAGTCAAAAAACAACAGATGCTGGCAAGGCTGCAGAGAAAAGAGACAATTTATAAACTGTTAGTAGAAATACAAATTAGTTCAGCCACTGTGTAAAGCAGTCTGGAGATTTTTCAAAGAACCTAAAACAGAGCTACCATTCAACCCAGCAATCCCATTACAAGGCATATACCCAAAGGAAAATAAATTATTCTACCAAAAAGATATATGCACTTGAATTGACTCATCACTGCACTATTCGCAACAGCAAAGACATGAAATCAACCCAGGTGCCCATCAGTGGTAGACTGGATAAAGAATATGTGGTACACATACACCATGGAATAATACACAGCAATAAAAAAGAATGAAATCATGCCCTTTGCAATAATGTGGATGCAGTTGGAGGCCACAATCCTTTGCAAATTAACACAGGAATGTAAAACCAAATACTACATGTTTTCACTTAAAAGTGGGAGCTAAACATTGAGCACACATAGTCATAAATGTGGGACAAATAGACACTCTGGACTACTAGAAAGGGGAGGGAAGGAGGAGGACATGTGTTGAAAACTACCTACTGGTAGTGTACTACTATGCTTACTACCTGGGTGATGAGATTCATACTCCAAACCTCAGCATCACACAATTTCCCCATGTAATGAACCTGCACACTTAGCATCATATCTAAAATACAAGTTTAAATTTAAATTAAAAAAAGGAAAAAACTAGAAAAAGTAGAGGAAACCAAACCTAAAGAAAATGGAAGGAAAGAAATAATAAATACTAGAGCAGAAATAAAGGAAGTAGAGAATATTTTTTAAAATAGAGAAAAAATCAATAAAACCAGTTGCTTCTTAACACAATCGACAAAATCGACAAAAAGTTTACCTAGACTGAAAAATTTTAAAAGAGAAAACTTAAATTACCAAAATTAAGAATAAAAGAAAAACATCACTACTGACATTAAGAAATGAAAAAGATTAAGAATACTATAAACAACCTGACAAATTAGAAAAAAATAACATGGACACACTCCTGGAAAGGCAATAACTACCATAACTTACTCAAGAAGTAATAGGAAATCTCAATAAACCTGTCAAGAGATTAAATAATAATTAGACTTTCCACAAAGGAAAGTCCAGGCTCAGATGGCTTCACCAGTGAGTTTTGCCAAAAGTTTAAAGGATTAATGTCAATCCATCACAAACTCTTCCAAATAAATAGAAGGGAACATGTGTCAATTCAATCTACTTTGATATCAAAAATGAACAAAAACAAAACATGAAAAAAGCGACAGATCATTATCTCTTATGAATGTATACACAAATAACCTTAAGCAAAAGAGTAGCAAACAAAATTCATTGATAAGTAAAGAGAATTAAACATCATGACTAAATGGGATTTATCCCAGGAATGCAAGGTTGTTTAAACATCTGGTAATCTTTTACACCATCTTAATAGAATAAAGGACAAAATAGCATATGGTTATCTCAATTGATATGGTTTGGCTGTGTCTCCACCCAAATCTCATCTTGAATACCCATGTGTTGTGGGAGGTACCCTGTGGGACGTAATTGAATCATGGGGGCAGGTCTTTCCTGTGCTGTTCTTGTGATAGTGAATAAGTCTCATGAGATCTGATGATTTTATAAAGGGGAGTTTTCCTGTACAAGCTCTCTTCTCTTGTCTGCTGCCATGTGAGATGTGCCTTTTATCTTCCACCATGATTGTGAAGCCTCCCCAGACATGTGGAACTGTTAAATCCTTTAAACTTCTTTCTTTTGTAAATTGCCCAGTCTCGGGTATGTCTTTATCAGCAGTGTGAAAATGGAATAGAGTAAATTGGTACCAGTAGAGCAGGGTGCTGCTGTAAAGATACCCAAAAATGCGGAAGCAACTTTGGAACTTGGTAACAGACAGAGGCTGGAACAATTTGGAGGGCTCAGAAGAAGACAGGAAAATGTGGGAAAGTTGGAACTCCCTAGAGACTTGTTGAATGACTTTGACCAAAATGCTGATAATGATATGGACAATGAAATCCAGGCTGAGGTGGTATCAGATGGAGATGAGGAACTTGTTGGGAAATGGAGCAAAGATGACTCTGGTTATGTTTTAGCAAAGAGACTGGTAGCATTTTGCCCCTGACCTAGAGATTTGTGGAACTTTGAACTTGAGAGGGATGATTTAGGGTATCTAGTGGAATAAATTTCTCAGCAGAAAAGCATTCAAAAGGTGACTTGGGTGCTGTTAAAGGCATTCAGTTTTAAAAGGGAAACAGAGCATAAAAGTTTGGAAAATTTGCAGCCTGACAATGCGATAGAAAAGAAAAGCCCATTTTCTGAGAAATTCAAGCTGAGGTTGCATAAGTAACGAGGAGCCAAATGTTAATCACCAAGACAATGGGCAACGTGTCTCCAGGGCATATGAGAGATCTTTGCGGCAGCCCTTCCCATCACAGGCCCAGAGGTTTAGAAGGAAAAAATGGTTTCCTGGGCTGGGCCCAGGGTCTCTCTGCTGTATGCAGTCTGGGGACTTAGTGTCCTGCATCCCAGCTGCTCCAGCCATGACTAAAAGGGGCCAAGGTATAGCTTGGGCTGTTGCCAAGTCTTGGCAGCGTCCATGTGGTGTTGAGCCTACGGGTACACAGAAGTCAAGAATTGAGGTTTGGGAACCTTGGCCTAGATTTCAAAGGATGTTTGGAAATGCCTGGATGCTCAGGCAGACGTTTGCTGCTGGCGCAGGGCCCTCACAGAAACCCTCTGCTAAGGCAGTGCAGAAGGGAAATGTGGCGTTGGAGACCCCACACAGAGAACCTACTGGGGCATCCGTGGAGCTGTGAGAAGAGGGCCACAGTCCTCCAGACCCCAGAATGGTAGATCTACCTACAGCTTGAACTATGTGCCTGGAAAAGCTGCAGACACTCAATGTCAGCATGTGAAAGCAGCCAGAAGCAGGGCTATACCCTACAAAGCCACAGAGGTGGAGCTACCGAAGACTGTAGGAGCCCACCTCTTGCATCAGTGTGACCTCGATGTGAGACATGGAGTCAAAGGAGATCAGTTTGGAGCTTTAAGATTTCATTGCCCCGCTGGATTTTGAACTTGCATGGGGCCTGTGGCCCCTTTGTTTTGACCAATTTCTCCCATTTGGAATGGCTGTATTTACCCAGTGCCTATACCCCCATTGTATCTAGGAAGTAATTAACTTGCTTTTGATTTTACAGGTTCATAGGCTGAAGGGAGTCACCTTGTCTCGAATGAGACTTTGGACTGTGGACTTTGGAGTTTATGCTGAAATGAGTTAAGACTTTGGGGACTGTTGGGAAGGCATGATTGGTATTGAAATGTGAGGACATAAGATTTGGGAGGGGCCAAGGGTGGAATAATATGGTTTGGCTGTGTGCCCACCCATATCTCATCTTGAATTCCCATGTGTTGTGGGAGGGACCCAGTGGGAGGTAATTGCATCATGGAAATGGGTCTTTCCTATGCAATTCTCATGATAGTGAATAAATCTCAAGAGATCTGATTTTTTTTATTGTTGTTTTTTTGAGATGGTGTCTCACTCTGTCACCCAGGCTGGAGTGCAGCGGCATGATCTCAGCTCACTGCAAGATCCACCTCCCAGGTTCATGCTATTCTCCTGCCTTAGCCTCCCGAGTAGCTGGGACTACAGGCGCCTGCCACCACACCCGGTTAATTTTTTGTATTTTTAGTAGAGACAGGGTTTCACCGTGTTAGCCAGGATGGTCTAGATCTCTTGACCTTGTGATCTGCCCACCTTGGCCTCCCAAAGTGCTGGGATTACAGGTATGAGCCACCACGCCTGGCCAATCTGATGGTTTTATAAAGCAGAGTTTCCCTGCACAAGCTCTCTTCTCTTCTCTGCTGCCATGTGAGATGCACCTTTCACTGTCCACCATGATTATGAGTCTCTCCAGCCATGTGGAACTGCAAGTCCATTAAACCTCTTTGTAAATTGTCCAATCTCAGGTATGTTTTATCAGCAGTGTGAAAATGGACTAATATATCAGTACATGCAAAAAAAAATTGGACAAAATCGAAAACATTTTTATGATATAAAACAAAAACTTTAAGAAACTAAGAAACTTCTTCAACCTCCTAAATGGCATCTACAGAAAACCCATAGCCAGCATCAAACTTAATGAAGAAAGACTGAATACTTTCCCCTAAGATCTGGAACAAGACAAGCATATATACTTTCTTCACTTTTATTCAGCATTATACTGATACATGTGATAACATACATGAATCTCCAATTATTCCACTTATATGGAAATTTTATAATTGACCAATCTTTATAGAAAGTAGGCTAGTAATTGCTTAGAGTTAGGGAGTGAGAATAATGAGGAATGCTGGGTAGTGGGTATAGGGTTTCTTGTTAGAATAATTAAAATGTTCTAAAATTAGATAATATTGACAATTTTACAAATCCGTTAATTTTCTAAAAAACCATTGTATACTTTAAAGGGGTAAGTTTTATTATATGTAACTGTATTTGAATAAAGCTATTTTCTCAAAATCTCAAGGTAATGAGTCTGCCACATTAGTGAAGATTTAAGACTCCAGTGAACTATAATATACCAAGACATCTCCTCCAACATAAAGGAGAATTTATTGCATATTGTATCCAAAATAGAGCACAAGTAATTGCACTTTACAACTTTTGCCTCTAAGAAAGTAGCATAGGTCTTAGTAGTCCCTTACACTTTTAGAGATATCATATACCACATTTTGAAACACCATTCAGACCTATTTATTCGATGACTTGTGAGAATGCCCATTTCAAGTAGGATCTAGAGCAAGAGAGGGCTTTGTAGCAACTTCACGCTGCTAGTGGGACCATATAACTTGGCAGATCCCGTGTTGCTAGAGATATTCATGGCAAGACATGTGGTGTCTCTCACAGACTCCAATAAGATAGACACAACACAGACTACTAGAGTTCAGAAGTAAGACCCTGCTTTCTGCAGTAAATAACTATTTACCTTTTGACAAGCTGCTCCTGCCATACTGCTATGACTCACAGACCTAACAAAAGACCTGATAATGGTACATCAAGTAAGATGACTATTCAGTTTAGGGTCTCCCTTATGAGCTATGTAAACCCACCAAGTCATACTGTCAATCAGGAGCATTCAGCAGAAGGAAAACATTCATGGTTGTTGCTAAGCACATACAAAACCCACAAGTTATGTGAATAGTAGGCCCTATCTCCTGCATTCTCTCTATGTTGCACTAATACTTCTCCCTCTGCTCACACCTATGGTCTTGTGATTCATAGTCAACATCCAGTTGACTAAGGAGGACAAATGCAGGCCTCTTTCCTGGATGGGTGACTCAAGATATTGGTACAAACCAAAAATGGACTAATTCCACACTATAGACTCAATCAAGGATGGCCCTTAAATACGATAGTGAGAAAAATTCCTCTCAATAGGCATAGCTTCAAGCCATATACTTGGACATCTTCTTTGTGTGAAGGAAGAAGTAGATTAAGGTAAGGTTAATTACTTGGATGGTTTGTCAAGGGCCTGGATGGAGAAAGATTGAAAGAATTCAAAAGCTTATAGATGGACCTATGGGAGTGAGTACAAAGTGTATGAAATTTAGGAACTCAGAGAAGACATTGAAGAACCAGTGAGATGGGATGATTCATGACTATTTAAGCATAGATTAGCTAGCCTCTGTCCTCTGCCACCACAGTGCTTACACATGGTGCTGAGGATGAAGAATGCTATGCAAGGCCCTACAGTGTGGGGCCTTACATACATATATATAACTAAGTTATATGTAACTAAGGCTTATGTATGGGCTTATTTTCACTACAGCTGACCTACCTATTTTGATTAATGAATGTTCAACTTCTCTTCGTTAGTGACCAATGCTGAACTGTCAAAATAATGCTCATCACTCAAAATGAGAATCCTGGAGTCTGAATGTGTCCGCCAAAATTCATATGTTAAAATTTTATGGCAAATGTGACAATACTAAGATGTGGGGCCTTTAGGAGATAATTAGGTCATGAGTGCTCCTCCCTCATGAATGGGATTAACAAGTCTTTATAAAAGAGGTTTCACAAGGAATCCAGCCATTTTGTTTGTTCTTCCATCCTTTCTGCCATGTGAAAACACAGTGTTTGTCCTCTCCAGAGGCGGTGGCAATAAAGCATCTTCTTAGAAACAGAGAGCAGCCCTCACCAGACACCAAAGCTGCCAATGCCTTGATATTGGACTTTACAGCCTCCAAAACTGTAAGAAAAAAATTGTTTTTCTAAGTTACCCTGTATCAGGTACTTTATAGCAACACAAATGGACCAAGACAGAGACCATCCTTTAATACAAGACCATCCAGGCACTGGCTGATTATTCTGGATCTCTTCCATTTTTAAGGAGGCAGCTGTTCATACTGCCTGAGTTTGATATTTCTGGGAATGGGTTTATCTTTCTTACCCTGGCCATTAACACTATTCAAGGGCCCATAGAATGTAATTTATTAGCATGTGAAGCTGCATTACATTGCCTAATACCAAGGAACCCCTGTGTATTAGTCCATTTTCACAACTCTATAAAGAATACCTGAGACTGGATAATTTATAAAGGAAAGAGGTTTAATTGACTCACACTTTTGCATGACTAGGAAGGCTTCAGGAAACTTACAATCATGGCGGAAGGTGAAGGGGAAGCAAGACATGTCTTACATGGTGGCAGGAGAGAGACAGAGAGAGTGCACAGGAGAAACTGCCACTTTTAAATCATCAGATCTCGTGAGAACTCCCTATCACGAGAAGAGATTGGGACAAACCAGCCCCAAGATCCAATCACCTCTCACCAGCTCCCTCCCTTGACACGTGGGGATTATGATTTGACATTTGGGTGGGGACACAGGTCAAACCATATCACCCTGTTAAGGCAAAGAAGGTACAACAGTGGGCATATGAGATTCATTATTTCTTTCATATACTTCATTGCCTTGAAGCTGCTGGCCTATAGAATATTGAAGTCATTCAGCTTAGAAACAGCTCTAGGATATTGGGGAAACTTCAGGATGAGGTACATGTTTTGAAACATTACTAGTGCTGTGTCCCTAGTTGACAAAATATGCATATCTGGAGACAAAGGATGAAAATAACAATGGCCTCCTACCATATCTCCCAGTGATCCACACTTGAGGCATTTATATTTTCCATTCCCTCAACTTTAGGCTCTGCTAGCCTAGAGGTTCCAGTTTCAGAAGAGGTGATGGGGGAAATCTTCTACCAAGACAAGAAATAATTTCCACCAAACCTAAAGTTATAGCTGCCACCTGGTCATTTTAGGCTTCTTATCCAAATGACTAGCAGGCAAAAGAGAAGTTACTTTGCTGGCAGAAGCAATTGACTATCCTGAGACGATAGAGTTACTATATCCACGTAATAGGGGCAGGTAGTATTATGTTTAAAACCCCACAGTATCCACTGAGATGCCTCGTATTGTCTCCACACCCAGTAATAATAATAAATCGTCAACGGTAATAACCATGGCTTCATAAGAATGTAAAAATGTAAGGGCTGAAGCTCCTCAGAGATAAAGGCTTTGGTGAATTTTCTGGGTCAGTGGACATGTTGGCCAAGGGTGAAGGGGATCTACAATGGGTAAGATGGAGATTGAATGGGATAGAAGGGAGATAATGAATGGAATAGAAGGGAGACGATGAATATCAATGGTGGTCTCTGATCCAGCTGCAGCGGTGACAGCTGTAAATTGTACTATTTACTCTCCTATTGTATTCTCTCTTCAGAAATTGTGACTGTCCACCAAATTGGAAAAGACATAAGAGGGCAGAATGAAATTAGTATGGCCCATGGGTGGATCTCTGTAGTGTAAGAGATGGACTGTCACAGACACCTTTGGAGCTCCACTCCTGTTTTCTTGCTTTTATGGTTGAAGTTCACACTGGCCTTACTTACATTGTCCAGGACAAATATTTCTTTGCCTGAGAGCTTTCTTTGCCATGGAAGCCTGCTTTGCCACCTATGTAGCTGGTTGGAAAGGCTATGGAATTATGTACTTTTTTATGGAATTATGTGGAATTAAGGGCTATGGAATTAATGTGCTTTTCTTCCTGGAAACAGTCTTCAATCAATGAGCATTCAGATTTGATATTTAGATACCCAGGTCCATCCCTCTTCCTGTCAGACATTTTTCAGGCCTTTGTTTTACACTAGCCTTCAGAGTTTTCCAAGTAGGATTAAGCTCCAGTTGACTATAGTGGTAGTCAGTTTGATAACACACCATGTATTAGTGAGCCATGCCTTCTGATTAACTTCCCACTTCCCTGTACCTCTCAAATACATTAATTGTCTCAAATCTTTGCTCAGTTTGCTTCTAGAAGAGCCCAAAAGAAGACAGAATTTCATAATACCATGAAATATGGAATATGGAAACAACCTAAATATACATTAGTAATAAATTATGACACAGTCGTATAATTAAAGCAATGATATAAACTTTTCTTCCTTGATGTGGAAATGTAATCTATATGTGAAATAAGATTACAAAAGTATATATTATTACATTTTTAGAATAAATAAAATATTAATGCTTATGTATGAAATATATATTATATATTTACATATATTTAGTGTGTATTATATACTACATTTACACATATTTTGTATAGATATATATATACTTACACATATTTTATATGCATATATATACACTATGTATAAATATATACACTATATATACTAAATATGTGTAAATATATATACACATGCTAAAATGTTAAGAGCAGCTGTAAAGGTTTTAGTTGTTTTCTTTCTTTATTTGGAATTTTTAATTTTCCCTAGTGAATATGTATTAATTGTGCTGTGAGAAGTATTTAAAGGAAATGTGACAAGTGGACCATGTTAGCCTGTTCAGTTTTAAGTGTTGGAGTTTTGACTAGGGCATTAAGAAAATTAAATTTAATAAATAAAATACTGCCTGGCAGGATAAACATTAAAATAATCTTACATACTCCTAATAAAGTATACAACCTTCAAAGGATTATATATCATTTCACATGTATACATTTATATGGTGGTCTCAAGAGTTCAGAGACTCAAGGCCATTACTTTGGGCATTTTGAAGAGCTCTTCCAGCAGTCTAACCTACCAGGCTTGACCAGCCAGAAAAGTCTTTTTAGGCAGGAAAACTGGAACTTCTTTTCAGCATCTTTTCCATCCATCTCACACACACACACACACACACACACACAAACACACACACACACAGTCACAGCTCTTCCTCTCATTCTTTACTTTTTGCTGAGTTAATCTCTAAACAATTATTAGGTTTGGAGTCTCAGACACATTAATTACCCAGAAGGCAGAATCTACTTAGTGGACAAGTCTCTCTCCCTAACGATCTTATTTTATTAGATTTGCACTTCTGATGGGAAAACAAGTTCCTGTGTTGAGTTTTGATTTATCTGACTTTGTGTTTATGTCATACCTGTTTCCGACAAGCCTGATAATATCTGAGTCTTCTAGTCTTTCTTCAGGGTGCTTTTGATTGCATTTAAAAAAATCATAAACCAAATTACAAAATGTTGGAATTTTTTTTAGTAAGAAATCTTCTCTGAAATTTCTTAACAAGGAAGTAATAGGAGGGAGTATAAGTAGACCATACATTGTGAAGTGAATAAAGCGTACATTGTGCAGTGAATGTTTTGCTCTAGCAAAAACACTTCATAATGTACGCTTTATTCACTTCTCTCCACCCAAATTCCATTCCCATTGGCAGCCCAAGTCTCCTCTCTACCCTCTTCCTCTCACGCTTGCACTCAAATACACTCTCTACCCCACCTACTCTTTGATGTCTGTCCCCACACCTTCCATGCCCTTCTCTTCCTCAGTGATACTTTCATGGCTTTTCCAGTGTAAAGCAATTCCAGTTCTAGCATTCTTTCAGATTTTCTTTTCTGCTGTATCCATCAAATCAGCAAAATCAGTGCCTAAGACTCAGCACTGAGGGTTGATGGGCTGGGAGAGGAGGTGAAAACAAACAAACAAACAAACAAACCAACAAACAAACAAACCTGTTTTTGGAAAGCAGAATTGGAGAAAGGGACATGAATTCATGTGCTTTTTTGTTTGTTCTTTAAGCTGGTTACAATTATCGATTTACATGTGCTCTATCATCCCATATATTGTACTTTATGTTTCTAGGTATATGAATAATGATGAGTTGAACTCTCTTCTGCAAATGCTTTCATACTCCTCCTCTGATTTTCAGGTGGTGGGAGGGAAGGTGCTCAACTGCAGCATAATTATACTGTGCACCCATCAGCAAGTCTCCTCTTACAACCTTGGAACAACCCCAAGGAGTTTGGAAGCAGTGAAGCAAACATGAATTGGACCTAAATATACAAGCGAGAAAGCATTTATTTTTATTTATTTATTTCTTAAAGGATAGAGTTATTTAAATATCCTGGCACTATGAGAATTGTACATTTAAGAATCAAGAATTGGTAGATTGGAAGAAACTTTAAGAGGTCGTGCAGCCTACCTCTTGATTTAATTCTGATGCAAAGTAAGAATATTATTAAAATAAAACTTTCACAAAAACATAAAATGTTGTCAGAAGTATTATATTTCCATTTGCTTCAACTGTTAATCATGTAATGTTGTCAATATCAAACATAGACCTCATAGACCATGGTCTTCAAGTTATATGTTAAGAAAAAGTTTTGAAAGTTAGTGTGATGAAGTTTAATGATTATTGTATAAATGCATGTATTAGAATAGACAGGTAAACTTAATACTTCTTAATCCAGAATATTTTTTGAAGGTTCTTAAAATTGCAAACCCTTTACCTTGTTGAATGTAATTTGTCCTGATTCCCAATCCTACCTGCTCCTTTGGCTTAACTACCAAATCAAATTGTCAGCCAAATATTACATTTGATCCTTTGCCTCTTCTCACAACTGGCAGCTCTTTCCTGACTTCCCTATTTCTGTCAATTTCACTATTATCACAATAAACCAATCAGACATTTTTGTCCTGACCTCTCACATGCTTTTGGACTCTGGTAAGAATTAGCCCTTGTTAATAGCAGCCCAAATATAAACAACCACAAATACAAGTTCATCTCCCACTTTCCCAGTGAAAAGACAAAAGGGCTATTTTGTCAGCATAAATATATAAATATTTGATACTACAGATAAAATAGTGAAAAGTTTGCTTAAACTATTTTATTAATTTAGTTACAAATACATTTAAAAAATCATGTGAAAGTACACCATTATTATTTAATCTGAAAATGTAACTTAGCAGATGTAGTGTTTAACAATCATTTTTACAGTTTCCATTTTTTAATTTTACCAAATCAATAATTTAAAAACCTATAACATAAATGTTAATTATCATAAGATAGTCAGTTATAAAATGTTCGTCTTGAGACTTCTTTTATTTATTTTTTTTTTTGAGACAGAGTCTTACTCTGTCGCCCAGGCTGGAGTGCAGTGGCAGGATCTTGGCTCACTGCAAACTCCACCTCCCGGGTTCACGCCATTCTCCTGCCTCAGCCTCTCTAGTAGCTGGGACTACAGGCACCCGCCACCACGCCCGGCTATTTTTTCGTATTTTTAGTAGAGACGGGGTTTCACCGTGTTATCCAGGATGGTCTCGATCTCCTGACCTCGTGATCCGCCCGCCTTGGCCTCCCAAAGTGCTGGGATTACAGGCATGAGCCACCGCGCCCGGCCCATCTTGAGACTTCTTCAAGGAAAAAGCATAGAATTGACCTTTGAACAAGGCAGGGATTAGGAGCGCCAGCCACCGTACAGTCGTAAAGCCCCATGTAACTTTTGACTCCACCAAAACTTAACCACATATAGCCTACTGTTGACTGGAAGCCTTACTGATAACAAAAACAGTTGATTAACATGTTTTCTGTTGTGTATATTATATACTGTATTCTTATAAGAAAGTAAGCTAGAGAAAAGAAAATATTAAGAAAGTTGTAAGGAATGGAAATATATTTACTATTTATTAAGTGGAAGTGAATCATCATAAAGGTCTCCATCTTCATTGTCCTCCCATTTAGTGCGCTGAAGAGGAGGATGGGTTGGTCTTGCTATCTCAAGTGTGGGAGAGGCAAAAGAGAATCAGCACATAAGTGGACCTGTGCAGTTCAAACCGATGTTGTTGGAGGGTCAACTTGTATTTCAAAAGTTACATTGTTAAAAATATTTTTTCTGAAGACTAAGAGCCTCTATTCTTTGCTGTTTGCCTCAATTTGCTTTCCTGCAAACTTTCGTTTTTAACCCAGCAATATTCATAGAGCAAAGAGTAGTTATTTGCATTAATTTAATCAGGGACTGATCTGAAACTTAGATTATGTAGGCAACATTGGCTATCTTCTACAACGGAGATTAAATACTGACTATAGGAGGTAAATAGCCCTGTTTCTACAGGTCTTCTACAGGACCTGACAGTTATTTATTTAGCAACTGATCTTTAATGAATTTGCTGTTTCCAGGACAAAATACTTTTGTATTAACTATTTTAAGTATTTACTCAACCAAGATTTTTGTTAAAAATTGATATTGTTGCAGTTTCAGAACATGTACTGGATTAGGTTAAGAAGTGAGCCAAGTTAAATAAAAAACAAAAAATGTGAAACAACAACAAAAACCAGTACAAGGAGAAAGAGAGAGAGAGAGAGAGAGAGAGAGAGAGAGAGAAAGCTAGAGCACCCAGATTCACTTTTCAATGTTACAAACACATGAATCTAGAGTATATATTTACAACACATATATGCAGAATTTTAGAGAGTCCAGGGGGCAAAAAACAGTTGGCCACAATGGTTTTAGCATTCCAAACTACTCAATTTTTGACAATAATTATAAAAATTAAAGCATATTTATCTGTTAAAAACAACAAAGAAGAGGATGAGCATGAACAAGGATTTTGAAACCTTTAACATCTGTATTACTCTAATATTTTTATACTTACGTGCTTCAAAAAATGCTACAGAAACAGAAATCTATGAAACATTGTGACTTTTGGAAAACAACAAATACCTGGGTTTTATTTATTTTTATTATTATTACTTTTTGACAGAGTCTTGCACCGTCGCTCCAGGGTAGAGTGCAATGGCGCGATCTCGGCTCACTGCAACCTCTGCCTCCCGGGTTCAAGTGATTCTCCTGCCTTGGCCTCCCAAGCAGCTGGGACTATAAGTGGGTGTCACCGCACCCGGCTAATTTTTTTGTATTTTTAGTAGAGACGGGGTTTCATCATGTTGGCCAGGCTAGTCTTGAAACTCCTGACCTCGTGATCCACCTGCCTCAGCCTCCCAAAGTGCTGGGACTACAGGTGTGAGCCACCCACCTGGCCAACCTGGGTTGTTCTTAATAAGATTATAATGTGGGAGCTGAGATGATTATATATAAAAGCTGCCAAAAGTTTCCTCCCTCCAAAAACACTGATATTGACTTATTATCAGTTTCAATTTTGTATTTTAGAAAAGGAGAAAGAAGCTGTTATTTATAATCCATTTGAATTATTCTACAATATAAAAGTGATATTTTATCAAGCAAAACTAGCCCTCAATTAGAAATTACTTCTTGTATTTTAATCAGGGTATACTGTATCTATCAGTCAGAAACCTGAACAATTTATTTAAGACTCTATTTTATAAAACACAAACTGGTTAGAAGTTTAATATAATGGCTCAACAGAGAAATTAACTCTCTAGGTTTGGTTACTGGTAATCTAAACTGATGAACCCAGAGATAATAAATTTATTTTGATGCTTTGCCGTTTTTCACAATGGTACAATTCAATGAATATTTTTTCCAATGATACTATTCAATGACCTTTGGAAGACTATATTTCAGAAGTCTCTGTCTCAACTCATTGATCCACTTTGTGCTGACCCTCTTGAAATCTGAGCATAATTTTTTAAGGCACCAAGCCGTGTTCTACAGAGATGATTGCAGTTGCAATATCCAAAACCACAAAGTATTCTATGACCACTCAAAATAACAACAATCAACACAAGCCACCTACTATGAACTACATTCATTATCTCATTTATTCTCATAAAAACTTTATAAGGCAAGTAATACTTTTCCTGTTTTAACAGATAAAGCAATGGAGAGTCTTGAGAGGTTAATTGGCTTGCCAAGTACCAAATTCATGTTCTATACATTGTGCTTATATATGTAAGGAAGTATGGGGGTAAAAGATAGCTGCAAAGCATAATATTTGTTGTGTTTATTAAAATTCTTCTCTTTGCTACTAGATAATAAGCAAAAACATTTTTGTCCATTATAGCTTCTAACACAGTGCCTTGCACATAGAAAAGGCTCAGTTGACATTTATGGAAACTCGATGTTGATGCTGGACTGAGAAAATAAATTTTTCAATATAATTTTAAATAAAATAATATATATTGCTCTCATAGTTCACAACATTAAATAATTATGGACTTGTTCATTTTTATATATGTGAATACAATGTCATACAAAATTCTTAACATCTTTTTATAACACACACCTTTCAATATGTTAAAAATATTTGATTGTTCGGAATATAATATACATTATTGTTGGTGTCTGTATACATAAAACATGGAGAAATATGAAATGTCAGTTCTACAGTGTTTCAGCTGTAGTTGTTAAATTATTTAAATTTAGCTTTCACTGAACACCAAATAGAGTGTGCATGACCAAGACTGTAATACTCTGCACATATTTTAAATAACTGATATTTGAAGTAACATAACTAAATTATCATACTAAGATTCTTTTCTCTTTGAAGATCATTAAATATTAAGGAATAATTGAAATTGTATTCACAAATTATAACAGTGAAAAAATTATGACAGTGAAAGAGATATGACATAACCAACTCTATCTTGCCTTTTACCTGCAAACTGCCCTTGGTTTTTCCGGGTCATGGGCCAAACTAACTTTGGGAGAAATTTGGTTGATAGTTTTAAATGATTAAAGCCCTTCCCCAAAATCTAAACTACCTTTGTTAAACTAATAAAAGGCCACCAGGTTAGGAGAATGAGAAGGGTCTGAATTCATAGTTAAGTCTTTACCAGCCATTATTCTGGAGATAACAAGATTTCCAACTTCCCCAATTACTCCTGTAAATACGATCACATTGTAGAACCTACGATTATCCTTTTGAGATGTCTTATCAGGCTTCTCTGTCTCTGATGACCAGATGGCTTCACCTGAACCTGTGACCTTTGACTCAACCAGTCCTGTAACCCCCAGCCAGAAGCAGACTTAGCACGCAAGAATCATTTTACACAACCCTATGATTGCATCCCCAACCAATTAGCAGCACTCATTCCCTAGCCCCTCACTGTCAAACTGTCAGAGGCATTGAAAACTAAGCAAGCCCATCTTGTAAGGTGGCTTGGTAAAATAAGGCTAAGACCTACTGGGCTACATTTTCAGGAGGTTAGACATTGTAAGTCACAGGATGAGGTAGGAGGTCGGCACAAGATACAGGTCATAAAGACCTTACTGAAAAAACAGGCTGCAGTAAGAAGCTGGCCAAAACCCACCAAAACTAAGATGGTGATAAAACTGACCTCTGGTTGTCCTCACTGCTCATTATACACTAATTATAATGCATTAGCATGTTAAAAGACATACCCACCAATACCACAACAGTTTACAGATGTCATGGCAATGTTGGGAAGTTACACTATATGGTCTAAAAAAGGAAGGAACTCTCAGCTGCAGGTATTGCCCACCCCTTTTCCAGAAAACTCATGAATAAACTGCCCCTATTTAGCATATAATCAAGAAATAACTATAGGTATTTTAGGCCAGCAGCTCAAGCCGCTGCTCTGCCTATGGAGTAGCTATCCTTTATTCCTTCACTTTTTAATAAACTTGCTGTTGATGTGGGATTTTTCTCAGGCCCTTCACTGGACTCATGGCTGGGGTGCCCACCTCAGCCCACCAAGCTCAGCCCCTTGTGGGAGGGAACACATAAATGAGCAAGTGCAGGATCTGGCCAGCCGCTCTGGGCACCAACACAGTAGCAAGCTCTGTACAGGGCCTGTGGCCAGACCAGGCATATCGCCTGGAGGGGAATGCAGTGGTGCCCAGGTGAGGATACCCACAACCTCGGAGCCCCAGATGGAATGTTACAGTGCTGTTTTAGTTCCACCATCTGCATTCCGATGGATAGCAGTGTGTTAGCAACTCATTTGGCCTCTTGCCTCGTCATGTGGGTGGCTTCTCTCTGCCAGCATGGGCAAAGGGTCAGTGTGACAGACTTTTCTGGGTACTGCATTTGGTGGGTCCTGAGCGCTTGTCCAGTGTCTTAGAAGAATGAGGTCACATGAATGTTTGAAGGATGGTGAAGGCAGATAATTTTGTTGAGTGATGAAAATGGCTCTCAGTGGAGAGGGGAGCTGGAAAAGGAAGGAGGAGAGGGGATGGAAGGGCAGGTTGTCTTCTCTGAAGTCAGGTTGTCTCTTCCCCAAAGCCAGGCCATCTCCCCTCTACTGACTGAGTTTAGGGTCTTTATAGGCACAGGATGAGAAGTGTGTACCGATTGATTTGTGAGTATGCAAAAAAGGTTAAAGCAAAGACACTACTCAAAAGTGAGCAGGACAGAGTATAAAACCAATTAGGAATGGGTGGGTATAAGTAAAATAGAGGAAGGATGGGGATCAATTAGAGGAAAGCATGCCAAACCAGGAGGACAAGTCCTCAATCTGGTCTGAGAATTTAACTGCTAGTTTGGCTTTCAGGCTTCAGGCTGTCTTTGGCTTGGAGGTGGGCTTTCACCAGGGACCCACCTCTATCTGCCTAGGCATTGGCTGCCTTCTGTTACTATCACTTTCACTTTACTCTATGGACCCACCCCAAATTCTTTCTTGTGTGAGATCCAAGAACCCTCTTTTGGGGTCTGGATCAGGACCCCTTTCTGGTAACAAAACTGTCTTTGAAAGATCCTAGCCCCAAATTTTATTTTATTTTCTTTCTTTCTTTCTTTCTCTTTATTTCTTTCTTTCTTTTTCTTTCTTTCCTTCCTTCCTTCCTTCCTTCCTTCTTTCTTTCTTTTTTTTTTTTTTTTTTTTTTTTTTTTTTTTTGCAAGTTCTCACTCTGTCACCCAGGCTGGAATGGGGTGCTGTGATCACAGCTCATTGCAGCCTTGACCTCCTGGGTTCAGGGCACCCTCCTTTCTCAGCTCCCAGAGCAGCTGGGACCAACAGCACACATTACCATGCCTGGCTAATTTTTGCATTTTTTGTAGAGATGGGGCTTTGCTACGTTGCCCAGCCTGGTCTTGAACTCCTGGGCTCAAGCAATCTGCCCACCTTGGCTTCCTAAGGTGTTGGGATTATAGGCATGAGCCACCTCATCCGGCCACCTTTAAATTTTCAACGAGGCTGATCAGAGTAATAACAAAACTCCAGTCTCCCTCTTAGCTGGCTCTACATGTATTAAACTCTTTCTCTATTGCAATCCTTCTGTCCTGATAAATCAGCTTGATCTAGGCAACAAGCAAGATGAACCCACTGGGCAGTTACATAACTTGTTCATAAAATGGCTAAAATGCTTTCAATTTTTAAAAGTAAATCTCTTCTAATTGCAGACTATGTATCCAGATTTTAAAATACTACAGCAGTATTTTATTATAGGATATTATTGGAAATTTCCTTTTATCTGAGTATAGACTTTGTAGAAGGTTTTGCTTCTTTGTTTGTTTCTTTAATATGACCCCTGGAACCATTTGCAACAAAATTACCTAATGTTTTTGTGAAAAAAATGTACATTCTTAGACCTCCTGCGGAACTAGTAATTCAGAATTACTGAGTGCTGGGAGGTTGAACTCTCCAGTTTTTAAGAAACTACTTGGGTGAAGCTTATATCTCTAAAGTTTGGTACACTGAAGTTTGAGAAATATTATTCTAAATATTTGTAGCTCATATTTTATTTTTTTATTTGCACTATTTGTAGATCACATTGAATAACCGGTAGCTTTGCCTATCTTTAGTTTATTCTGTTCTGGAAACTAAGCTCAAGTCTAACTAACTTGCATTTATTAATCTATCTACTCTCTTTTAGTTTCAGAGGATGGTATTATCTCTTAATACCCATTCATTTGTGTCACTGAGCTTTTAGTGCAAATATAGGATCAAAATTCAAGTCATCAGAATGCAATTTAGGATTTTTGGCTATATTTTCTTTCAGTTAATTTTTTTTTAATCTAGCAAGAACAAGCTGCTATTTTAACTTACTGCCTCATGTTTTCGTCTATTGATTTAGGAATAGAAGCAGAATTAATTTTTAGGAGGATACTGTTCTTCAATTTTGAAAAATTTACACACATGCCACAGACAGAAACATTTTAATAGACCTTTGCTTATGGAAAAGTAAAGCAAAAATGTAATTCTAGAAGGGAGAAATTTTAGTCAATTAGAAAATAAGATGGTCAGGCATTGTAGCTCTCATGTGTAATCCCAGTGCTTTGGAAGGTTGAGGCGAGAGGATTGCTTGAGACCAGGAGTTTGCGACCAGCCTAGACAACATAGCTGGTCATATAAAAAAACTTCAAAAAAATTAGCTAGCTGTAGAGCTTTCTGCCTATATTTCCAGCTACTCAAGGATGAGGCAAAAGAATCCCTTAAGCCCAGGAGGTTGAGGTTGCAGTGAACTGTAATTGCACCACCACACTCTAGCCTGGGTAACAGAGCAAGGTCCCATCTCCTAAAAAAAAAAGAAAGGAAAATAAAAAGAAAATAAACTATTCTCCATAATAATGTAGACAGCAATCCTCACTGTGAACCAGAAGGAACCTCGGCAAATTTTTTAGACATCAATGGGATTTCACTATCAGCTGAGAGTGTTCCCTTTTTAGCATGGCAAGCTGTTTCCTGAAGCAATAGAGAGAAGCAAGACCAAGGAAAAATCTAGAAAGAGCCTCTCTGTAGAAAAGCAGAGCAATGATCTCTAATCACAATGCTATCAAATATTCCAGGCTAAATTTTCCTTTATAGCATTAAAATTTTCCTCACATCCACAAGATTCCAATAGTTTTCTTAATGCCATAGCCTGGTGTCTATTCTGCCTTGTGGATTCCCATAATGCAAAATGCCATTAAAAAAGGAACAGACCATGAGAAGTGGGCCTCCGAAGCACATGAAGCTTGGTATCATCAGAAAGATAAGGGGCAACAGTCAGGAATAATTGTTGGGACATTTAATAAGTCCCTGGAAATTCCTAGAAACATAATTTTTTTTTGAGTCTAAGATGCTATCATTTTAAGGTGCACCATTATTTTATTTGCTACAATGTAGAAAACAATAACACTGCCAATTAAACTGTCATACAACAGTTTCATATAAATTAAATATTTATGTTATATTGAAGGAATACTTTTAGACTTGTTTAAACACAAATCTTTAAAAATTACATATCACTCTTGCATGTACATAAAAAATGAAAATATAGGCAATTAAATTAAGAGAGGTCTACAGTGTCTTTACATCAAGTCTGACTCTACTGAGTCCCTTTTTGACTCAGAGTCATTAATATATTGTTTTTTTCCAGTAATAATGTAGTGATGCAGCCTGTCTTCAAAGACTGCTCTACTATTGACTCAGATTTTCTCCCAAGCCATTGATACTAGTTTTGAAGCTGATGCTTTTTAAATCTTGCTGTCAGACTTACGGGAAGGTTTTCATACAACAGGGCTCATATTCTTTCCTCAAATTATCCTTACATGTAAATGTTCAGAATGTCGAGATGATACATAGGCCAGTTATGCCACTGTGAATATCTACCAAGGTCACATGTGTAATGAACAAAGACAGCTATTTCTGCTGCTGGCTGGCAGTGATTTGCAAGATTTTGTTGACTGTAGGACATATCCTACTTCAATGATGTTAAAATGTGAACAAATATGCACTTCAGACTTTGTAAAATGTAGCACAGCACTTACAGAGCACACTAGGCTTCTGGCACTCGCATAAAATGAAGACTTGGAGTTTTAGCTGAGTACTAAAGGAGGACCATCCTCCCACCGAAGGATGAAGAATTTAAGGATATGTAAGTTGAGCTGTACTTATGTTCATCTGTGATTTTTACAAGTCACTTATTGCTACATGTATCCTTTAAATATGCGTTGTCCTTCCTCCTAAAATGGTTTCACCATAATAAGTGAAATGTCAGCTTGTCACATTAAATTATAAATTATAAATTACCATCACCTTAGTCCTCTACATATCCTTCAACTTCATTATGACACTGTCCTTCAGAGATAAGGAACAGAAAGGCTTTAATGAAAACTTCAGCTAATGTAATAATTAGGGAAGGATGAGCTAATTAAGAAACATACAAAGACTGATTAAAATTATCCTTATACTTCAATCACACAGATTAAATGAAGGCAGAAACTTTCTTTAGGAAATTCAATCTAGTCTACTATTTAATTTTAAAATCATAGTAAATATTAAGATGTTTGTAAAAATCGTATTCTATGTATTTTCTTTCATTTAGAAACAGAAATTAGAATACACGTCATAAAAAGAGAGACTATGGTGATGTGTTTTACAGCCTAGCTATAATAATCTGGGTAAACACGCTTCTCTAGCAAGTACCTTACATTGTTGTCCAAAATATTGAGATATTACATTTGTCCATTTTTTGCCATCTGGATTTATCTACCAAGATCATACATGTGATGGCAATGAAAATGGCAGGCACTTCAAAACTGTTGCCTGACTGACCTGTTATAAATATTGTAATCTAAGGTAGAGAATCTGGAAACACTTTTTTAAGGTAATTGAGAATGATAAAAGACAATTTAACTTTAGGAAATCTGACTCCCAAGACACTGACTTGATTCTTATATTTTTAAGTAGAGTGATCTACAGTAGCTGAAAGAAAATGTCTAGGTGGTAGCATTCGTGTCTTCTATCTTCCATACCAAGATGATTGATTCAGTTTTCTTAGCTTTTTGGTTGCATGTTGTCTTCATATTCTGCTATTTCTTTCTCCTTCAGTGTTCCCACAAAGCTCAAACTATTATATAATGTGTACAGAAAACAAATTCAATAAAATTAGTCATCACTATTGGTTTGGGTTTGTGTAGCAGAAAAAAATATATATTCTTTTTTTTTAACTTCAAGTCTTATACTAGATTGACTTTGCAAGAACAAATTAAAAAGACCAGAAATAAAGGGTCAACAAATTTTCTCCTCATAATTATATCATTTAAATTATAAGGGGTATTTATTTGCATGCACATTTTCATAAGCAAGTTGCACACCAGTCTGTCTTTGAAATTATCATTTTTATTATTAATATAAAATTAATAATAAGTGAGATTCAACACTAGCAGTTGAGTACATCCAGAGAAAAACAATGAGGATGAAGGATTTATGAACACTATTGGACGAATAACTTTTTTCAAACTTATTGATTGATTGATGTTCTAAAGTATATATACATTGTGGAATGGTTAAATCTAGCTAATTAATGTGCACAAATCAGTAGCTCTGCTATACACAAACAGCAACCAAGCTGAGAATCAAATCAAGAACTCAACCCCTTTTACAAGAGCTCCAAAATTAAAATTCTTAGGAATATACCTAACCAAGAAGGTAAAAGACCTCTACTAGGAAAACTACAAACACTGCTGAAATAAATAATAAACGATACAAACAAATGAAATACATCTCATGTGCATGGATTGGTAGAATCAATATTGTGAAAATGACCATACTGCCAAAAGAAATCTACAAATTCAATGCAATTCTCATCAAAATACCACAACCATTCTTCACACAGCTAGAAAAAAAAATCCTGAAATTCACATGGAACCAAAAAATGTTCACATAGCAAAAGCAAGACTAAGCAAAAAGAACAAATCTAAAGGCATCACATTACCCGACTTCAAACTATACTGTAAGGCCACAGGCACCAAGACAGCATGGGACTGGTATAAAAATAGGCACATAGACCAATGAAACAGAATAGAGAACCCAGAAATAAAGTCAAATACCTACAGCCAGATGATCTTCAACAAAGCAAGTGAAAACATAAAGTGGGGAAAGGACACCCTATTCCACAAATGGTGCTGGGATAATTGGCAAGCCACATGTAGAAGAATGAAACTGGATCCTCATCTCTCACTTTATACAAAAATCAACTCAAGATGGATCAAAGACTTAAATCTAAGACCTGAAACCACATAAATTCTACAAAGTAATATCAGAAAAATCCTTCCTTCTAGACATTGTCTTAGACAAAGACTTCATGACCAAGAACCAAAAAGTAAATGCAACAAAAACAAAGATAAGTAGATGGGACTTGATTAAACTGGAAAGTTTCTGCAAAGCAAAAGAAATGATCAGCAGAGTTAACGGACAACCCACAAAGTGAAAGAACATTTTCACAATCTATACATCCAACAAAGGACTAATATCCAGAATCTACAAGGAACTCAAATCAACAAGCAAAAACCAAACAATCCTATCAAAAACTAGGCTAAGGACATGAATAAACATTCTTAAAAGAAGACATGCAAATGGCCAAACAAGCATATGGAAAAATGCTCAGCATCACTAATTATCAGAAAAATGCAAATCAAAACCACAATGTGATACCACCTTACTCATGCAAGAATGGCCATAATCAAAAAATCAAAAAATATCTGATGTTGGCATGGAAGTGGTGAAAAGGGAACACTTTTACACTGTTGGTGGGAATGTAAACTGTTAAAACCACTATGGAAAACAGTGTGGAGATTCCTTAAAATCTAAAAGTAGATCTACCATTTGATCCAGCAATCCCACTACTAGGTATCTACCAAGAGGAAAAGAAGTCATTATACGAAAAAGATACTGCACACGCATGTTTATAGCAGCACAGTTTGCAATTGCAAAAATAGGGAACCAGCCCAGATGACCATCAATCCATGAGTGGATAAAGAAAGTGTGATATTGGGGAGAATATTGCTGCTGGTTGGTTTTCTCATCCAGTTAATCTTGACCACTCTACTTTTTAATTTTCTTTCAGCTGTCTAGGTTAAAAGGAGTTTGTGGACCACACTTCTTACATTCATATTTATGCAACTGAAACTATGCACAAAGAGTTCTAGTACATTTGTTTCTCACTTTATTCAATGAACACAGGCCATCTCTGTATGAAAATAAGGATGATCAAGAATAAAGGGAAACAAGGCATAAAGGAAAATAGAGACCAGAGGTGACAGAAATCGAGAAGCAAGCAAACAAAACCCCCTTAAGAGTCTATCTATATAGGCAGACAAATTCTGAATGAAGGTAAAGAAAGAGTGACTTATTAAATCAAATTTCCTGAGTAGTCTGCTTTTCTTTCTTGGTAATTGGTAGGAGAGAAGTCTGAGACATGGAGAATTCATTTTCCATAGCTGTGTTTTGTTGCTACTATTTTTCAAATCTATATTTGTCATTTTTGGGGATGGAAATAATTCTTCAAAGAGTATAATTTCCAAAATGATAAACTGTAATTTGGGCTATAGAGAGAGCTATTCTGTCAAGTTGACCGATTCACTAAAGAAGATTCTGATTCTGTATAATAAATTGTTATGAGAAAGTTGAATGGAAATCAATATAATGTGTATTTCTTTAAGTTGGCAATATACATACAATTTTATGTATCAATTTAAAATAAATAAGTTGAAAAAAGGTTATTCATCCAATAGTGTTCATAAATCCTTCATCCTCATTGTTTTTCTCTGGATGCACTCAATTGCTAGTGTTGAATCTCACTTATTATTAATTTTATATTAATAATAACAATGATAATTTCAAAGACAGGCTGTGTGCAACTTGCTGATGAAAATGTGCATGTGAATAAGTATCCCTTATAATCTAAATGATATAATTATCAGCAGAAAATTTGATGACCCTTTATTTCTGGTCTCGTTAATTTGTTCTTGCAAAGTCAATCTAGTATAAGACTTGAAGTTTAAAAAAAGAATAGTAAATAATTTTTTTTCTTGCTACACAAACCCAAACCAATCGCGATTACTAATTTATATTGAATTTGCCTTCTGTACACATTATATAATAGTTTGAGCTTCGTGGGAACATTGAAGGAGAAAGAAGCAGCAGAATATGAAGACAACATGCAACCAAAAAGCTAAGAAAACTGAATCAATCATCTAGGTATAGAAGATAGAAGACACGAACATACCACCTAGACATTTTCTTTCAGCACTGTAGATCACTCTACATAAAAACATAAGAATCAAGTCAGTGTCTTGGGAGTCAGATTTCCTAAAGTTACATTGCCCAGGTTGTCAATTAGCTATTTGAAAAGGGTGACTAATGGATTGTCTTTTCCATATATTACTAGGAAACAAGGTCCCCATTTGTGTTAACCTTTTAATCTGAATAATTTCAGTAGGGATAAGGAACACTCAATATGATTTTTGAATTCCCTGTGAATCTATGGTTAGTAAAACCATTTTTCCTTGGGCATATATCATTGCATGGGTTACTTAAATTAATATTGTCAGATTATTAAGGCATAATTTGGGGAACTCAGAGTATCTTCAAGAGATTTTAGAAGATATAAGGCTACTTACCTCTAAAGAGAGAGAAAAATAAATTGAGCTTATTTTCTATCCATTTTGTTTTGTTTCATTTTACTTTGTTTTTTTGTGGGGTTTTTTTATGTGCATGGGATTAGAGGCAGCAGTGATAAGCAGGATGCAACATGCAAATGTAATTAAGAGCTTTCCAGAGAACAATGACAGAACTAAAATACTGAATACAAAACTGACACTATGCCTGATCTGTTTTAAGAGAATGGATATTTTGAACTGACATAACGATAGTAAGTCCTAGTTGAATTTAATGAGACAGGAAAAAGGAGCAGAATAGAAGTATCGTACATGCTGCTAATATCAAGGATTTGGGGCTATTTTCAATTTTCTTTCCTTCCTAAATAATAACCGCAGTATTCTTGAAATAGGCATGAGTTCCTATTTAAGTTGTAATTATTTTCTCTTGTAAAATCTCTTACAGTGGTAACGACTAGAAAAAACTGTTGAAAAAATCAAAACTTTGAAACAAACTAGTCAAAACAAAAAACTGCATGTGGCATTATTAGTGCAGTAGTTACATACATTCAAATTTTTTAAATAGATAAAATTTTCAATTCAGTTTGATTTAAAAGTGATTTAAAATCTGTTTGATTTTGTATAGATTGATGAATGGTCAGAATCAGATGGGGAAGGGAATGGGTTGGGCATAAAGCACAATTTTTTTTTTTTTTATGTTTCAAGGCTAAAGTTTTTAAAATGTGGGAACTTCTAAACATTTGTATGGATACAATTGAATTGTAGAATATGATCTCAAAGACGTTAGAGGAAAAACTCTTCTTATAGGGTAATGATAATAATCCAAGTTCCCTATGCCCCAATTAAAATAAGTAGTCCTCCAGTGCAAAGAAGGAAGAAAACAAAGTCCCCTTGTCACATAATTTTTTCTTTAGTGTGAATGGAAGAGTATAGGTCCATGCTACTCAAAGTACGGTCTATGGACCAGTAGTTTCAGTATCACCCAGGAGCTTGTTAGAAACACAGAATCTCAGGCCCCATGCCAGACCTTCTGAATCAGAATTAGCATTCAACAAAATAACCAGGTAATTAATATGCATCTTAGCCGCTGAAGGGGTCGTTACAGACCCTGGTACTGTGAATTAGTGCTATCCAATAGAACTTTGTTCAGTGATGGAAATCTTCTATGTCATTTAATACAGTAGTCGCCAGCCACATGTAGCTATTAGGCACTTCAAATATGGCAATACCTAATGAGAAACTGATCTTTGTATTTTATGAAATTTTAACTCATTTAAATTTAAATAGACACTGGTTGTCAATGGTATCATATTGTACATTGAGGTTGTAACTTTTTATTGAAATGTATTTATGGGACTAACATAAGCCTCTGAAGCTGTAGGACATTTGTTCTTTTTATATCATCAGCCCTCACAGGGCTTGCATAGTACACTGTTATTTCTAAGTGTTATTTATATATTTATGTATCATCTGCACTATTCCTAGGATGTACTTATATTACACTATAGTTATTTGTGTACCTGGCTGTTGCTCACCATGTTCCCACCATCAACCTAACACACCAAGAAGAGTAACTACAAGCTTCTCGAGAGAGATAAGTCTTAATGATCTCTGTATTCCTGTACACCCACTACCAAGTTTGGCATGTATCAGCTACTGTATACACATGAATTGAATTAAATTGGCAAAGAAATTAACCCATAGATATTTATTTTAATAAGACATAGTAAAAGCATGGTAAATTTAATGCAACATTGTCTCAGACAATATCCATTAATGCTCATCCCACCAAAAAATAAAACAAAACAAAACAAACAAAAAACCAGCCAAACAAACAGAAATAATAACAATAAAATCTTGCAAAGCTCTAATCCGTTTTAGCCCTTTAAAATCAGGCTGATGTAAGGAAAGTGGTGATATGGATTACTAAACCCATTACACATCCTGGCTAGGTTATTTATGAATAATATGCAAATGAACATTTTGTACTGTCTTTTCTGAATTGGCAAGAGCACCAGAAGTGGACCTGGGATGCAGAAGAGGGAAGGCCTCCCTGAGGGACTGACTGGCTGAGACACTGAGGGTAAACAGCCGAATTCTCCGAGTCCCAAGCTGATATGAGCTAAAAAATCAGCTGCAGAAGGCAAATAACCCTGGGGTCCCTGGCAGCAGGTGGGGAGCCTGACCCTCACGCCAGGGTAGGAATATCCAAATGCTGTTCTGACCAGCAGTGCAAACAGCCACGTAAACAGCTTGGGGCCCAAGCAGATGGCTTTCAAAAGCTGCCTTCCCCCCTCTCCCAACCCCAGAGATGGGGCAGACTGCCTGTGTCAATAATGGCTTCTGACTTTGGACTCAACAATCCTTCTCATCACAACTCTCAGATTGTGTGGCTTGTGAATAAACTATCACTATACTATAACCCACTTCATGTGCTTTGGTTATTTCCACTGCTTTGTAAATCAAGATATGTCTAGTTTAAGATTGGAACTATCCCTCCCTTTACATTATTTGAATTCATCACACCTTAGGAAATATATATTCTGATATATTGAAATATTTTATTTGATGAATTTCATACTCATCATTCATTTTTTAAAAAAATGATTTTCCAATATTTATTAAGAGTTCTGGCAAGCAGAAGAGCCCTTTTGTTTTCATCTTTCATTACAGAAATTGTCAAACATATGCAGAAATGGAGATAATTGATAAAAATCCACATACCTAGCACTTAGCTTCAAAAATGATTATCTATCTCATCTCATTATTTCTCTTTATATTATCTCATCTTATCTATCTCTCTCATTATCTTATCTCTTTCACATTTCTTCATTTTTTAAATGGAGTATTTTAAGCCAAATCTCACCATACTGGTATTTCACCCATAAGCATGTCGCTACAAATCTCTAACAGTGAAGGAATTAAAAAAAATAGAACAATCCCATCATCACAACCAAACAAAATAATAATTTATTGTCTAATATTCAATTCTTTTTCAATTTTCCCTTATTATCTCAAAATTGTATTCTTATATTTAGCTGATTTGAATCAAAATCTAAGCAAGGTACAAACTGCATTTGTCTGGGATGTGACTCTTAAAATATTACTTTTAAAAATTGTGGTTAAAACACTTAACGAGATCTACCCCCTTAACAAATTTGAAGGGTACAACACAGTAATGTTAACTATAGGCACAATGGGTACAGTATATCTCTAGAACTTATTAATCTTGCATAGCTGAAACTTTTTACCCCTAGAACAGCAACTCCCATCTTCCCCTCCCCTAAACCCCTGGCAAGCACCATTCTACTCTCTGTTTCTATGTGTTTGGCTATTTTAGATTCCTCAGGTAAGTGAAATCATGCAGTATTTGTCCTGTGACTGGCTTATTTCACTTAGCATAATGTCCTCAAATTTTAATCATGTGGTCACATATGGCAGGATTTACCTCTTTTTTTAAGGCTGAATAATATTCCATTGTGTGTCTATATCACATTTTAATCAATAACAATTCCTCCTCCCCTTTAATGGCATGTTTTGTCAAAGAAACTGTATTATTTGTGCTATAAAATTTCCCACATTCTGAATTTGGCTAACTGTATTCTTGTAGTATTCTTTAGTATGTTCCTTTCCCAGCTCCTATATTTTTTTTAAACCTATGGCCTGATACAGAGATGTATTAGATTCAAGTTCAAAGGTCTTTAACAAGAATTCGTCTTTATAGTTCTCTGGCCTGTTATTGCATTACACCTGGAAGTCCTTCACAAAGTAGGTCTCTGAAAATGGAAGTAACTCATGGTGTTAAGTCCTTTTTCAATGAATGTTTGAAGTTTACTCAAGGGTTAAAGTCAAAATGGATACCAGTGAGGCTTTCTCAAAATATTCTTAGTATAAGAGGAAATGTGCCTTAGAATTTTTAATTCTAATTAATGGGATTTTCATAGTTTCAGAGAGAACTGGATTAACACAATAACAAAAATTAATTTCCACATTTCTCAGGTGAACTGTTTCATAGGTAGCAAATGTATACATGAGTTTGGAGAAATGCATCTACAAGACAGACCTCAAGATTGGTCTGTGGTTGCTCTGCAGAGGATGGGACCAACACCTGTCCAAAATTTGGTTTGGATGTGGAAACTGATTATACCATGCATGATACATACACCAAGATGGTGTGAATAAATTTATTATGTACATAATGGAGCTTTCTGGGGAGAGCAGGGCAGGCTCAAAAGAAGATATGAAAATGACTCAAGAGAGCATGGAGGGTGCTAGCTCTGTTTTTATTGTAGTTACGGTGTAAAGATAGGAAGAGGATTCCTCTGTGTGGGTTGAACTTGCCATATCCAAGTTTCCTTACTGGTTTTCCCAGATGTTGGGCAAAAGCGGAAGAGACTGGGGGGGCTTAAAAATGGTCACAATCAAGTATCAAAAACAGTCTGACTCTTTTGTAAATTAGCTATTTGATTTGATATTTAAAAAATACAATGAATAGAATAAACTAAGACATTTGGGAATTTTGCTTTTATATATATTTTCATGACTGTGTGTGTGTGTTTAAACAATACCCATAACTAACATTTATGGAGACACTCCTCTGTCTGCAGGACACTATTTCTTTACGTATTATCCATGTGATACTACATTTGTAATGATCACATGAGTTTACTATTTTTAACCTTATTTTTCACATAAGGAAATTAAGGTCCCAAGACGTTAAGACACTTGCTCAATGTCATATAGCTAAAAGTGGTGGAGCTAGGGTTAAAGTCCATTCATGTGGCTCCAGAGAGATACTCCTAACCACTATGTGTATACCTAGTGGCTCTAAGCTTTAGGTACATACAAATCTATCCTCATCAAAGTTCATGTGACTGGACTAACCAAAATTTGTTAGAGCATAGTCTTAGAGATCACATCTTAAGAATAATTAAGAAATCACACCATAATATTACTCACTCCAAAACTAAGAGATTATATAATGCAGTCATTAAAAGTTTGGCATTAGAAAGACCCAGGTTTCTAATACAAAAAAAATTAGCCAGGCGTGGTGGCACGTACCTGTAATCCCAGCTACTAGGGAGGCTGAGGCAGGAGAATCACTTGAACCTGTGAGGCGGAGGTTGCAGTGAGCCAAGATCAGGCCACTGCACTCCAGCCTGGGCAACAGAGTGAGACTCCATCAAAAAAAAAAAAAAAAAAAGAAGGAAAGAAAGAAAGAAAGAAAGAAAGAAAGAAAGAAAGAAAAAGAAGAAAGACCCAGGTTTCCACCTGGCAAGTACTTTAGTATTTTCGCCTGGCATTAAAGATTCATTAATGTCCTTACCTTGACTGCCCAATTTGAGGTTTAACATCTCTTGGCATTAGTTAAGTGGTTTCCCAACAGTAGCGCCAAAGTTTTAGGAATTTTGCAAAAACTACCCTTAAGAGTGTAAAAATTACATTTGCTATTATAACTCGCTGTAAGTAGATTTTACTTGCAGTTTTGAAACGACTTTTGAAGAGCCATACGCAGGAAAAAATAACTTTATAAAAGCGAGTTGTACCTTTCTATCCTGTAGGAGAAAATAGAGGATTACTTCTTTTTTAAGTAGCTCATACAACCCGAAGCAAAGGCTTACAGAGTCACAGAACCATTTTTGTCGACTACAGTCTTAAATAAAATCTACTGACGCTATGTCCAACCAACAGGATCAATTTAGTCATTTTTTAAATCTCCATTTTAAAAATTGACTTGATATATGGTTAAAATAATTACACGATCAGCAGTATTTTCTATCTTGCAGCCTGGAATTTTGTCATTATAGCAGATCCTAGGAATTGTGCTATTTTGTCTTACCACTGGAATAAAATAAGTTAACGTTGATTTTGTGTTCTATGTCCTCTGAGTTTGTACTGCACTGCCCTCTGGAGGATAGAACTCATCATAGCGCATGCATTGTAATTTTAGGAAAAATCTTACACTCCTCCACAAAAACTGTGCTTCAAGAATGTTTAATATTTTAATTGGCATTATTGAGCAATGTTGTTGGTTTATGTGAAGTATTTTAACTTTAAATAATTATGCATTTTAAGTGTCTAAATTTTTCCCTATCTTACAATAATAATTTGAACTCTGAATCTATCAGATTTACTTTCCTAATACTGTTTTTCCTTTTTATTTTGAATATAAATGGGATTTCCTATTTAAAGAATAGGTATTTTTTAAATTCACTTGCTATTAGTTTTCATACACCGTCAAGGTTAGTTCTTTAAAAATGTACATATGTACGGTGTTTTACTCTGTTTTCACACTGCTATAAAGACATACCTGAGACTGGGTAACTTATAAATAAAAAGATTTAATTGACTCACAATTCTGCATGGCTGGGGAGGCCTTGAGAATCTTACAGTCATGGCATAAGATGAAGGGGAAGCAAGGCACATCTTATCACAGGGAAGCAGGAGAGCGAGACAGAAAGAGAGAGAGATGAAGGGAAATTGCCACTTTTAAGTCATCATATCTCATGAAACCTCCCTCACTATCACGAAAACAGCATGGGGGAAACCGCCCCCAGGATCCAATCACCTCCCACTAGGTCCCTCCATCCACATGTGGGGATTACAATTCGAGACGAGATTTGGGTGGGGACAGAGCCAAACCACATCAAATGGTTAGGTTATAAAAATGAGCTATTAAACTATTTTTAGGGAAAACAAATCTATTGAACTTGACTGTTAATATCAGTGAAACCAAGAAAGAAAGATGGAGAAAAATATCTTTTAAGCAGATCTCAATTACTTTAAAATACATCTTGTAATTTGAAAGTGATTGTTTTTTAAAAGTCACTGTCACAGAAACAAACTCAGGGTGAACTTCATGAGATACAATTTGTGAAAAATGACAGTAACAGAATTGACATTGGTCTGTATGAACTTGGTGTAACCACAGAAGTTATTTAATGGTTGTGTGTGTGTGTGTGCATGCGTGCTTTAGGCAGGCACTCCAAGATTTCTTTGGCTATGACCTTTGGGCTGAGAAGTAGATTAATTTAACCAAAAGAACATAGGAATCTTTAGGATTTCTTCTATTTTCCTTCTTATTCTTATCTAGATTTTTTTCACTAAACAAAAGCATATACATGCTGACCTCAGACTGCTAACTAAAGTCTCATACAGGCAAATTTTCATGTAAAACTTTTAAGTTGCCAGTCCAAATCAGGATGAGTGACCAAAAAAGATGAAGCAAAAATGTTAAGTGTTGCTTACTCTTATAGCTGTTTTCAGCTCTTATAACTTTAAGCCTATTCTACATTGTCCGGTGTCAAGATCTAAAAGTGAACAAATCACTTTCTTTTTCTTTTCTTCTTCTTTTTTTTTTTTTCCTGGGCTCAAGCACTCAAGCAATCCTCCCACTTCAGCCTTCCCAGTAGCTGGAACTACAGTTGCATGCTACCACGCCCGGCTAATTTTTGTAGAAACAGGGTTTCACCATGTTGCTCAGGCTGCTCTTGAACTGCTGGCCTCAAGCAATCCACCAGCCTCGGCCTCCCAAAGTGCTGGGATTACAGGCGTGAGCCACTGAGCCCAGCCCAGATCACTTTCAATTTGCTTTTCAGCTATAATATAGGCACAGTCCAAATAGCCAAGTAATATAAACAAATCAAAACATGAGAATCACTTTCCAAATGATATTGCATGCAGGAGGTAAGATTTAAGAGAAATCAGGGAGTGAGGCAAGAAAATAAAAGAGGGAAGTTCACTTTTTTATAATTGTACTTTTATTACTGGGTTAGTCAGATATTAAAAATACATGTTAATTTCTAAACTGACAACCTAAAATCTACAGAATTGTGTTAAAGTATTGCTTTTTAATATTTATTAAATGAATAAATGGATTCGTTCATTTAATAACTATTAGTTTATTGAATGTCAGATTTGTGCAAATTATGGTGCTGTTTACTTTGATTATCTAAAATAGAAAACACTCTGCTTTGATATGTATGACTTAAAATCTCTATTCATTGTCCCTTTCTCCACTTGGATTGTCAATATCCACCTAAAATGTGTGAGAATTTCAAATTCCAATGGAAATTGGCTTATGTAAGCCAGAATCAGATGCAAGATTACATCACATATTTAGGGTTTCATTTTTACCTATGATTAAATTATTATTTATTTAGCAAACCATCAGAGTATATTTGCCTCTTTTCTTATGGATATACACCTTTTACAGTAAGTGCTCACTCTGCCTATCAGATTTCATTTAAATTCATTCAGTAAGTCAGGGAGTCCCTGTATCAGTATTTCATTGCATTACATTGCCTTTCTAGTGCATTTTAGCATCCTCATAATAAAGCTAATTGTGAACTCATTACCACTAATTGCAAATTTGCTTTTATCCCACTTTATTGAAATATTTTAATAAGTTTATGCCAATAATTTTATAACCTAATATTCATGTACTTTATCTGTTAATCACTATAACCTGAATTAATCTAGCTACATATCTGATTTATTTAATATTGTTTAGTGATCCCAGAGGGGTTACAACATATTTCAGAATCTTATGTGCATGAGTTTTCACTTTTCTTAGAATTTTACAGTAAGATTTTGGCTTTCTGTGTTTAATTTTTAAAATAACATTTAAAAGAAAATTTTGAGGTTGCCAAACCCCTTGCTTATCACATAGAATTGCTGACTTCTAAACAGTGCATGTATGGCTTCTCATTTGCTGAGTTCTTCACTATAATAGAAATGTTGCAAATATGATCACTACCACCCCCAAAATACATTTCCATCCTCACCCTTGAAGACTTTGAGATGCAAGTTTCACCTATCATTGCACTGGTATAATTTTAAGTTGCTCTCTGTATTACAAAAATTGTTTTAACTAGAATGAATAAACTTTGCCCCAATTCTGACTGCTGATCTCATTATTCAATTGCAGAGTTAGATTCACACATCTAACCCTTTACTTTCTTGGCTAAATATACTTAACCTTTATTAACTGTCATAAAGCATGGTTATTATGAAACATAAACGCAAGTGGATTGTACTGAAATGAACTTTGAGGAGTCCTGTGTAGGAGCTTATTGAATGTGTTTTTCAAAATCTAAGCAGCTGAAATGAGGTACACGATTTCAGGTCTCCATTTTTTTCACTAATTTCAAATACACTGCCATCAATAAGCATAGCAAAAGGCAGATCACAAGTGATACAATGTATTTTCTTAACCAAAATGGAACTCCACTGTTAACAATAAGGCAAATTATTTTGTCCTTTGAGAAAAAGTCAGGAGAGCAAATACTGTCATGTAAGAGTCTTTGAGGGGTAAAATCTGGTAATAAGTCTAACTGAAGCTCCACATCCTAAATGGGATTGATATATAAATATTTAAGGAGTGAATTTATTTAATTAATCTTAAGCAATCCACATCTCTCCAATCTTTACATTTGGGGCAACCTTGACTTTTGATCTATGTCTTTTAAAAGCTTCTGATAGAACTAGATATTATCAGCATAGAGAGCAGTTGTACATCCATTACTAGTAGGAATTATCTATCCCTTAAGCTAATGATCTTTAGCATCTTTGTTAATAGCCCTGAATAGGGAGTATAACCCACTAATGCATTTTTGTAGATTATCTAAAGGTAGGAGTTTCAGTGTATACCAGTTTAAACCAGAAAACTGTTCTAATTGACCTTGAAAGGTTAAAAGAATAAACAGGAAAAAAAAGTTTAAAAATATGAACCTCTGAAAACTAATAAAAAAATGAGGATTATTCATATAAATATGAAATTGACAACAACAACTTGGAAAAGCATATACAGAATATTATCCATAGCTGTTTTAGAACAAGACAGAAGTTTAAGTATAATGCTCATTTTAAAACTGGTGCTAATTTAAATTGTATCTATATGATTGTTTTTAACTTAGGAAAGCAATTACGTTTTTTATATAATTGAGAAGTTAAATCTTTTATCGGTTGAAATTGACTTAATCTAATAAACCTCAGGTTATTTTTATTCCTGATTTTTTAATTCCTAGAAACCAAGCCAGGCAATGGATGGTCTCTTCAACAAACGGCACTGGGAAAACTAAATATCTACATGTAAAAGAATAAAGTTGGGTCTTTACCTTATACCACATACAAAAATTACTCAAAATGAATCAAAGACCTAAATGTTAAGAGTAAAGGCTACCAAACGCTTAGAAAAAAACATAGGAGGAAGCTTCATAACATTGGATTTAGCAGATTTCTTGAATATGATATCAAAAGCATAGGTAACAAAGGAAAAACTATATTATTTGGACTTGTCAAAATTAAAAACTATTGTGAATCAAAGGGCATTTTCAATGAGCAAAAATGCAACCCACAGAATAGGAAAAGATATTTGCAAATCTTACCTCTGATAAAAAATTAATATTCAGAATATATAAAGAACTACTACAACTCAAAATGAAGAAAACAACCTGATTTTAAAATGGCCAAAGAACTTGAATAGACATTTCTCCAAAAAGATAAACAAATGACCAGTAAGCCCAGGAAAGATGCCAAATATCACTAATCATTAGGGAAATGAAAATCAGAACCACAATGAGATAACACTTCACACCCACTAGAATGGTGATTAAAAACAAACAAACAACAACAACAACAAAAAAAACACCAAAACCAGAAAATATCAAGTATTGACAAGGATGTGCAGAAATTGAAACTCTTATGCACTGTTGGTTGGGATTTAAAATGGTGTAGCTTCTGTGGAAAACAGTATGGAGGTTTCTCAAAAAATTAAATATAGAATTAACACGTGATCCAGTAAATCTACTTTTGAGTTCACCTTCAAAATAATTGAAAGCAGAGACTCAAGAAGCAGATATTTGTGCCATGTTCATAGCAGCTTTATTCACAATAGGAAAAAAAGGCAGGAACAACCAAAATGTTCATCAACTGATGATTCAATAAACACAATGCAATATATTCCTACTGTGATGGTTAATTCTTTTTTTTTTAACCATCGACATAATCACTTTATTAGATTATATAGCAATTAAGGGCTTTTTCATAGTTACTAAAGAGCACTGTCAATTACATATAAAATATTTTAAGGGTTATGATATCACATAAAGATTTTATCAATTTTTTTGTTTTTATTTTTATTACTTTATTTTATTTTTATTTTTATTATACCTTAAGTTCTAGGGTACATGTGCACAACGTGCAGGTTTGTTACATATGTATGCATGTGCCGTGTTGGTTTGCTGCACCCATTAACTTGTCATTTACATTAGGTATTTCTCCTAATGCTATCCCTCACCCATCCCTCATCCCCCAAACCCACAAAAGGTCCCGGTGTGTGATGGTCCCTGCCCTGTGTCCAAGTGTTGTCATTGTTCAGTTTCCACCTATGAGTGAGAACATGCGGTGTTTGGTTTTCTGTCCTTGCAATAGTTTGCTCAGAATGATGGTTTCCAGCTTCATCCATGTCCCTACAAAGGACATGAAATCATCCTTTTTTATGGCTGCATAGTATTCCATGGTGTATATGTGCCACATTTTCTTAATCCAGTCTATCATTGATGGACATTTGGGTTGGTTCCAAGCCTTTGCTATTGTGAATAGTGCTGCAATAAACATACTTGTGCATGTCTTTATAGCAGCATGATTTATAATCCTTTGGGTATATACCCAGTAATGGGATGGCTGGGTCAAATGGTATTTCCAGTTCTAGATCCTTGAGGAATCACCACACTGTCTTCCACAATGGTTGAACTAGTTTACACTCCCACCATCAGTGTAAAAGCGTTCCTATTTCTCCACATCCTCTCCAGCACCTCTTTCCTGACTTTTTAATGATCGCCATTCTAACTGGTGTGAGATGATATCTCATTGTGGTTTTGATTTGCATTTCTCTGATGACCAGTGATGATGAGCATTTTTTTATGTGTCTGTTGGCTGCATAAATGTCTTCTTTTGAAAAGTGTCTGTTCATATCCTTTGCCCACTTGTTGATGGGGTTGTTTGATTTTTTCTTGTAAATTTGTTTAAGTTCTTTGTAGACCACTTTTGACGGGTGATGGTTAATTCTATGTGTCAACTTGGAGAATGTTTGGGGATGAAATTAACATTTAAATTGGTAAACTCTGAGTTGGCAGATTGCCTTCCATAATGGGGGTTTGTCTTATCCAACCAGCTGATGTCCTGAATAAAACAAAAAGAATGACCTTCTGGAGCAAGAGGCAGTTCTCCAGCAGACTACTTTCGGAGTTCATGCATACCATCAGCTCCCCTGTCTCTCCACCTGCTGGCCTTGGGGTGGAAACGACACCATTAGCTCTTGGGTTTCAAGCATGCTAGTCCACACTGCAGATTTTGGACTTTCCAGCCTCCATAATCATGTGAGCCAATTCCTTATAATAAATCTCTTAATATGGAAATTAGTTCTGTTTCTCTGGAGAACCCTAATACACCTACAATGGAATGTAACTCAACATTAAAAAGGAATGAAGCACTGATACATGATAAAATATGAATGAACCTCAAAGACTTTATGCTAACTGAAATAAGCCAGAAACAAAGGACAAATATTTTAAGATTCTATTTATGTGAGGTACTAGGAATAGTCAGATTTATAGAGACATAAAGTAGAATAGTGTTTTTAGTCTACAAAGGCTGGGGAGAGAGGGAAATTGCAAGTTATTACTTAATGTGTACAGAGTTTCAGTTTGGGATGATGAAAAAGTTCTGGTGATGAATGGTGGAATTGATTGCACAATAATGTGAATGTACTTAATGCTCTTGTACTGTACACTTCAAAAAATGTTTAAACTGGTATAGTCAATTTTATGTTATATATATTAAAAAGCAATCAATATTATATTTCATTGACTTGCAAATACATCTAAAGCCATTTGTATGGAATCACAGAATTTAGATTTGGAAGAGATCTTAGCAGCTCTATCACTGAATCGCTTGTTTTATACCTAAATACCTGTTCTTCTTTCCCAAATAAACTTAGTCTCTGCTAGAATAACACTAAGATGGAAGGTCCTCCCTTCCTGTGGGAACTTGTTCCTTCATTCAAAGGACTCTTTCAAATGGTCAGATGGTGCTTCCTCAAATCTAAGCCAAATCTACCTCCCCATATCTTCCCCTATGTTATATATATTTGCAGCCCCCAAGGCCAATCCCTGAGCAAGATCAATATAGCATCCAAGTGTACACCTTCTGGAATGAAAATAGCTATCGGATTCACAATGTCTTGTTTTCCTCAGTCTATAAATCCCTCATTATTTTTCAATTGTTTGTCATATGCCCAAGTTCTTACACAGGTCTTGCACTGCAGGCTCCTCATTTCCTCTCTGACCTCCTGCCTTCCTACCCTTCCATTCACCCACTCTGACCGAACCACACTGGCCCCCTTGTTCATCATGGAATACACTGGGCATGCTCCTGATTTTACCTTGGCCATGCCCTCTGACTAGAATACTCTTACCCCAGATATTTACACTGTTCCCACCCTTACCTTCTTGACTCTTTGCTCAAATGTCCCTTTTCAATGAATCCCATTTTGGCCTCCCTGTGGTAAATGATAATCTTCCCCTACTCACTCTGAATGCCCTGGCCTTCCTACTCTATCTGTTTCCATAGCTCTTATTGCTTACTAGCATCTATAGAATTATAGGGCAACTATATAATTAACTTATTTGAGTTAACCTATCACTGTATCCCATCATCAAATATAAGCTCACAAGGGCAGGGAATTTTGTCTATTTATCCACGGATGTGTCAAAGGTGCCTACATAGTGCCTGGCCATGATATACTTATTATCCATCATATTTTTACATATTTAATAAATATATGTGGGAAGAAAGAACAGCTATTTTTAGACTAGTTAAGAGTGTAGGCTTGGGGCATCCAGATGCCTACATTTAAATCCTGCCTCCATTACTTATGAGCTAGTGACATCGAGCAAATTATTTGAACTTTGATTTTCAATTTGCACTTCTCTAAAGTTTACATATTTTTAAAAGTATTATTATTTTTCTTTTCACAATGCTGGATATTTTTCTTTGGAATTCTTCCTGGTAGACAAGCTGCAGAGTATTGATCCACATATGCCAGTAATATGCCGCCCACCCCACACCCCACACAGTGATTTTACAGAATGCTTGTTCTGTGAGATACTACTAGATGTGGCACCCAGAGAAAGTCATGTGGTCAAACACAAATGCTGGAAGGAACCAAGTCAAATGACTTTTTGTTTTTTAACCCTGCAGGACTTCTCAAAACTTTTAATATGTTAATGTGCAATATAATCATCCTCAAGGTGGAGAATATAACACACAGTGTTTTCTAAAAATAATCTTAGAAATCTATTTTTCTGCTCATGGAGCATATCAGAGGAGTAGTGCCCTGAGAAATGTACTTTGGAAACTTCCTTCACCACCACCAAGGATAATCATGGGCAGGAGAGACATGGAAAGCTATGGCTGAGCACCATCAGCTTTTCTGCTCATCCAGTCTTTGCTCGTTTCCCAATTCTAATGTGATATGTGTCAAAATCTTTGTTCTTGTTCCATTTAAATTTAGCTGTAAAAATTCTCAAGATCTCAGTTGCTATGGCTAGTGTCCTATACTTTACTTTCAGAGTTTCTTTATACTAACTTTCTTTCTGTTCTGTGTGCTCTGATTGCCCAGGATTTCACACATTTATAATACTGCAATGTTCAGTCTTGCTGGCATGAATCTTATTTCAAACATCAGTCAGCTGCTGCATTTACCTTTGGTGACTCATGACATTCTCTTTCTCATCCCCTTCCCTGCCTCCCTGCATTCATTCTAACACTGGCACCCTAATCACAAAGCACCCCATCACCTCTGGACCACTCAGTGGGCACCTGAAGTGTAAACCTCTGAGGTCTTTTCAGTCACCTCTAGAGAAGGGAAGGAGTGAAGTTACAGCCTGCATAGTCTGTAAGAAAAGTCAGAACAGGCCAGGCACGGTGCCTCATGCTTACAATCCCAGCACTTTGGGAGGCTGAGGCAGGCAGATCACTTGCAGTCAGGAGTTCAAGACCAGCCTGGCCAACATGGTGAAATCATGTCTCTACTAAAACACAAAAATTAGCTGGGCATGGTGGTGAGTGCCTGTAGTCCAGCTACTCGGGAGGCTGAGGCAGGAGGAGAATCACTTGAACCTAGGAGGCGGAGGTTGCTGCGAGCCGAGATCGCCCCGCTGCACTCCAGCCTGGGTGACGGAGGCAAGACTCCATCTCAAAAAAAAAAAAAAAAAAAAAAAAAAAAGTCAGACCTGCAACTGAGTAGGAGCCAAAGAGAATAGGCTGTGGCTACACAATGCTCCCAAAGGCTCTAATCAAGGAAGCCTAAGAGGGCAGGAAGAAGCTGATGTCCACCAACTGCACTCTGCAGATATGCAGCTGGGATACACGGCAGGTACAGGAAACTGAAGTGTCTGAACATGGCCAGGCTGGTACTAGCAAAGGAAATTGTTCTAGTGTTCATAAGCTTTAGTATTTAAAATGAGTTAAATGTCAATGACTTTTAATTTTATATAACTTCTGACCATTGTCTACAATAAGATACTTGTATTAATATGAATCAAACGCTGAAAGACTCATTTTGCTGCAATATTGCATTCATTAATATAGATTTTAACTATCTCTTCTCTGAAATCATTGTCATTGTGTTTTCTGCTCATTGAACATCCCCATCCTTATATCATATCCCCAGGGTTGCCAGAGTTAGCAAATAAAAATACAGGATACCCAGTTAAATTTAAATTTCTGATAACCAATGAATAGACTTTAGTTGCAAGGGACATATTTAATTATATAAATTACCTTGAATTTAAGATAAGTAAAACATAATTTTTAGTATAAAAGTATGTCCCACGCAACTAAAGTATATTCTTGATTTTATCTGGCAACTTTACACACCTCCCAATTTTGACTACTGACTTTATCTGGGACCTTCAAATAGCAAACTGTGGCCACAAAAGTGGACTTTCTCAAACCCCAGTAAGCCTATCTCCTTTGGAACCCCCTATCTCCCACTAATCCAGACCATCAGCATCTATGTCTTAAGGTATGCCAGCCAGTACACTTTTGATAGTGTTTGCACTTGGAAACAAATACTATACTCTACTTGAGATGTGACCTGAGCCAAACATAATAGGACTAACACCTTCCTCATTGCAGACACTATTTCTGTTAAGGGGCCTAAAGGTAATGTCAGCCTATTGGTCAGCTTCATCACACAGGTAGCTAACATTGATGTTCACCTAATTAATATTCTTAAGTCTTTTTTCATACGTTCAGCTGAATGATATTTTATCCTAGTTTTCTTCTCAAAACTTACTTAATTCTGGCTTTAAATGTCTTAACTCTATTTCAAAAGCCCATAGCAACAATTTTTACTTGTCCTTTTTTTTAAAGTAGTTATTTAATCACAGGTTTAATAGGTATATACAAGATCAAACCTGTTGGAATGAATATATGATAGAGGAGTTGGATCAAATTTGTATAATCATGATAATCCATTTGGGAAGTGTATTTGTACTTTTAATTTCTGAACTTCTAAGAGAATACGTGAATAGCCCCATTGGCATTGCTAGTTATCCCCTTCATTATTTCGAATCAGGCTTTTTTGAGATTGTTTTGTCAGAATTTCATGTTATCTCTGAATTTTTTTCTCAGAATTTCAAAAATGTAATTCTTTAATGTATATGTCAATCTGTGCCCATGTTTTAGGTACTTTACACATTATCTCTTTGGATTCTCACATAACCATGGGAGGCAAGTTACACTTTTTCTAATTCACAGGTGAAGGAACAGAGGTTCAATGAAATGAAGTGACTTGTCCAGGTCAAGACATGCAGCAAAAGTCAAAGTGCTAGAAATGGAAGAGGCAAAGACAGACATTTGCAGACTAGATGATTGGATGAAATCCTAGCATCTGAAACAGCAGTGGGGGCACACCTCTGGAGAAAAAGGAAAGCCCTGGGGCCTTCCAAGGGACCACAAGGACAAAATGTTGATCTCACAGCAGCAGCTGCCTAACTGCCCAATGAACTCATCTTCAGGCAGACTTTGAATAGGTCTTTGCCTCTAGGAGATAAAATAGAAGATTATACAGGCCAAGTACGAATGAGACTAACCTGGGATGTGGTTGCCAAATATCTGGAATACGTAAAACACAAAAGAGTTTTTATAAAACAGTAAATAAAACAAATTTTAAAAGGAAATATAAATTTCTTCCGATGTCTGAGAAAGTTTAATTTGTTTATATGCTGTCTCAAATGGTATTATAGAATTGTAGCATTGGAAAAGGATCTTAGAAATCACTATATTGGCATCATTGTTAATAGTTTATCTCTAAGTAGATAATAATTAATTTTAATTCATGACAGAGTCTACCCCCCATTATCAACAATTACCTTTCTATCTATACAGTGTCTCTCTCTCTCTCTCTCTATCCATCTTCCATTATCCACAATTACCTTTCTATCTATCTATTTATTCAGTAATTTTCCTTCTTAAGGCTACTTGACAGGTCTGCGACGTTTGCTCTTTGCAAAAAGGCAACATGCCATCTAGTGGTCATAAACTGAATTGCAACCAGGAGTCCCTCAGAAAGCATGCACTTACTTAAGGTGAATGGAACTTGTAGGATTTGCATAATAGCTTACTGGGTCAACTAGGCACTAATCCAAATGTCTCAGACACATAGAATATCTGTCATTTAGTCAAAATCCTCTATGTGGCCTTTTCCTTTTTATTTTTTAGTTACGCCTTTTTTTAAATCAGTTTGGTTTTCCAAACCAGAGGGTAAGCCCTGGGCTGACAAAGTATCCAAATGCATCACGCTGTCCTAGAATAACTATCTACCCAAGTACTAATATTAAAATATTTAGTAACAGAATGACATTCCCTAAGATACTGTCCAGACAGCTTCCTGAGAATCTGTCATAGTCTCCAGAAGTTGGTGGCTTGATAAGTTCTGTTAGTAGTTCTCTTCCAGTGAATATAAATTTAGTTACTTAAGATGACTCAAGGGGCTAGTCATAAGGTGATTATCATCTGCCTTAAAGTTGACTTTATTTGAAATTAACATAGCAACACTAGTTTCCTTTTCTTTAGTATTTTTCAGTGTATGTTTCATCATCACTTTACTTTCAGCCTTTCTGTGTTTTAATGCTTAGATGCTGTCAGGAAACAAAGCTAGAACAAAAATAAATTTAATCTTAAAATCTATATTTTATTAATTCGGTTACATTTTTGTGATTATTAGCATGTATTTGGACATCTGTCATCTTTTTTTTACGATTTTACATCCTTTCTTGCTTAACTTTCTGCTTGTTTTGTAATTTCCCTTTTATTCTTCTACTAGCTTAGAAATTATGTATTTTATTTTCATTTTCTTTAGCAGTTGTCCTTTTATTTTTAACATCCATTCTTGACATAACAAAGTAGAACATTCAATAATATCTCTGTCCTTTCAAAAACATTAGAACAATTTATTTTTTAACATACTCCCCTCTTTAAGGGTAGCTGTCCAGTATTTTAGATACTACTTGCTTTGGAAGTCCTCAAAACCAGATACTTTTTGCAATCAAAGCTTACTGAGTTTTATTAAAATGTTTAAAATTTCTTTAGGGAAAATCACTTTGTGCATCATCATTTTTTTTCATCAGAATCCTCTTTTGTAGATACTTAAATGTATCAGTTAATTTTTCTTTCAGTAAAATCCACAAACTGAAAAGCTCTCAGATATTGTCTGAAAAATATGCCTTTATTTTGCCTTTATTCTTCATCAATCATTTAGCTGGGTATAAAAGTCCATTTGTTCAATCATTTCTCCTGAGTCCTTTGAAAGTATTTTTCCACTACCTGTGGTAGCTCTTGATGGTAAAAAACAGTTTTTATTCTGCTTACCTTTCCTTAGTAGATGATGTGTCTTTTCTTTTGAAACCTTTAAATGTTTTCTTTTTATTTTTATGTTCTGCAGTTTCATAATAACCCACTCATTGTGGAATTAATTGCATTTTCTTGCTCTGAATTTGTGTGCCACTTAAATCAAAAATTTTATTTTTTTCCCTTACATTTGGACAGACTTTCAGGCAATATTTCTGTAAATATTGCTTCACTGCTAGTCTCTACCTCTCCTTCTGGAACACCTTCCAAATAAACATGAGACTTTCTCACTCTATCTTTGGCATCTCTTAATATGCACTCATTGTGATGGTTAATTTTATGTGACAACTTGGCTATGCTAAAGTGCCCAGTTGTATTGGTCAACAACAAGTTTAGATTTTGAAGTATTTTTTAAAGATATGATTAGTATTTAAATCAGTAGACTTTGAATAAAGCAGATTATCTTTCACAATATCATGGGCCTCACTTAATCAGTTAAAGGCCTTAAGAGAAGAGATTAAGATCTTCAGAGAGGGAAGAAATTCTGCCTCTAGACTACCTTCCAACTTAAGACTGCAACATGACTCTTCCCTGGGTCTCTAGCCTGCTGGCCTGCCCAGAAGATTTGAGACTGTCAGCTTCCACAATAGCATAAGCCAATTCCTTAAAATAAATCTGTTTCCTTCCCTCTTCTCTCTGTATCTTTCTGTCTCTCCCTCACATGTTTGGACTTATTTCTATCACTTTGTTTTGTTTACTATTTTCCCTCCTTTCTTTGCTTAATTATCTGCATATCTATCTATCTATCTGCATATACACACACAGAGGCATATTTATAGATATATCTATATCTATATAGCTAGATATAGATAGAGGCATAAATCTATCTGTATCTATATATACTATATATCTATATATATACTATATATCTATATATCTATATATACTATATATCTATATATCTATATATATACTATATATCTATATATCTATACTATATATCTATATATATACTATATATCTATATATCTATACTATATATCTATATATATACTATATATCTATATATCTATACTATATATCTATATATATATATATACTATATCTATCTATCGAGAGAGAGAGAGAGAGAGATCATATTGCTTCTGTTTCTCTGGAGGATCCTGGCTAATAAAATCATATTTTCAATTCCATCTCTCTATGCTGCCTTTGACATATACTGAGTGATTTCTTCATCTTCAACATCTTGCTTACTAATACCATTTCAGCAGTTCCTAATCTGTTTAACTCTTCCATTAAATTATTTTTTTCTTTAATTAACATTTACATTTTGTTTGGTCTTTTTTTCTAGTTTCCCTGTGTGTGACCATAGCATTCTATCATACATTAACATTTTCATTCCTGCTTATCTGTCTTTAAAAATTATTTTGAAAAGCTTATTTTATAATATTTTAGATTGTCTATCATATCCATATTTGGCTAAATGTCTACCATGGTAGTTTGATTCTTCATGGGAGTCAGGTTATTTTTCTGTGGAAGATTTGTTATTCTTAAGTTGTAAAAATGTCTGTTCCAGACTGGCTTCTCCTGAAGCCTTGGAAGTTTCTATGATTCTCGTCCTTGAGCCTTCCTTGAGAACTGGCTCGCTGTACTGTCTTCATCTCTCACCATGCCTCATCTGGATCAGCCACTATCCAGATCATCTTCATTCGAGTGAGATTTTATAGAGCATTTCTTATTTGATATCACTTATCTGGGTTTGTAATTATATATTTATTAGTATGGTTATTAGACAAAAATCTATCACTTCCTCATCCTCAATAGACCCTTAATTCCACAAGTAGAGAAAATATTTATATTTTTATTTACCCACTTGACATAGTGCCAGACATATAGTAGTCATTAAATTAAATATCAATTCATTGAATGAATGAGCAGTAAGCACATTCTTTTCTGCTAATTACCAGAGTTCTTCCTGAATACATTTCATTCAGATACTGAATGGATCAAACTTTTTGAAACTATTATTTTTTGTCCTATCCCTGCTATTGTTGGTGCTTCTATGGCTGAAACATTCAAATGCCTGAAAGAGCCATATACTCATATATTACTAATTAAGGAATTTCTGAGTTTTTGAACTTTTGAATTTAGAGTCATGTAAAATCACCAAAAGCTATCTTCTATATGTCCACAAAACATACAAGTATCTCCAATAGAACTGCAAATTCTCCCGCACATGAGGAAGTGTTTGATCAGGGCAAATATCAAGAAGTGATCACAAACAAGAATGAGATTCCTAACTCACGGTTTCAGAAAGATCAATCATTATCTAAGGTTGGAAGCCTGCAGCATAGTACCGTCTTAATGCTCAGGTGGGATGTTTGATTCCAAAAAGCTTTTGAGTTTTAGAAAGGAAGTGTGATAAGGGTTTAGCTTAAAGCAGATTGTTACCATTTTTTATTATATAACATTACAGTAATGTTATATACAGGGAGCTCTCACTTCCTGTATGCTTCTTCTGGAATACCTCCTGAAGGATCTGCCTCAGGCTGTTCTACACTTAACTTTTTGTACTCCAAGAAGGAGTACACTCTAAAATAATGATTAAAAAGTGTAATACAGTAAATACATAAATCAGTAGCATAGTTGTTTATTATCATTATCAAGTATTATATACTATACACAATTGTATGTGCTAGACTTTATCAACTGGCAGCACCAGCATCACCACACACCCGTGAGTAACACATTGTCCTATGATGTTTGGACATCTATAAAGTCACTGGGCAATAGGATATTTGCAGCTCCATTGCAAACTTATGGAACCTCTGTGGACTATGCAGTTTGTCATTGGCTGAAACGTTGTTCTGCAGCACATGACTCTGTGTGTGTGTGTGTGTGTGTGTTTCTGTGTGAATGTGTGTGTGTAATTCTGCTGGCCTTCATACTTATAGTCAAACTAGTTTTAAATAGCAGTATCCTTTTAGACTGCTTGGGGATCCCATCTGATTAACTGATGTCATTGCTGAATCGGTGGTTAAATAACTCAGTTGTTAACTATTTTAATTTGTATATATGTGCATGTACATGAGGTAAGATGAAAAGATAAATGGGTGGCAAAGCCACCTGTTGCATGGATGTATTTGGTTCAGTCAAACCATACGTAGCTTCACATAAGTAGTTTCTAAGCAATGAATGAATTTTAAAAAATATTCAGACCTTGACATTAAAAATAACCAGGTCTATAGACCTCTGTTATATTGTCTCCCTTAAAATAATGTTGAATTAATTTTAATTTTCTAACTGGCATGACTCATAGCTTAAATGTTTTAATTTATCATAAGGACAAAGCAAAAGTTTTAATCAGAAATATAATTTAATTATTGCAAATGTAATGGTTGGTCAATTACTAGTGGCCATTTTTTCTTTTTTTTTTTATTTTAGCCTCATAAATAGTCATCTGGCATTAAATATTTGTGATCTAGGCCAGTAACCTTTTTCAGTCTCGCAGGACCTTTTTTAATTAAACTATGTCTTTGTCCCATGTCTGTAATCCTCTCACTGACATTTTATATACAAGACACCTTGCTGAAAAAAGGTCAAGCAGTACAGTTATAAATGGAAAAGAGATTAAAAGAATTCTCAAGCCATGGTGTGATCTAAGAGCAAGTTAAATATGGAGCAGGTCTTAGTAGACATGCTCAGTAGACAAGGAGGAATCCTCTGGGTAGATTTTAATGATTGGGGCAGGAAAGCAAATGAAAATTATTTTCATGGCAAAAATAAAAAAAAGCACATTTTTCATAGGCCACAATAATTACTGTAAAAGCCCACCATAAGGTTTTAGTAGCCATAAAATGTTCAGGAAAACAATTGCAAAATACATTCACAGTGTTTGTATAATTCTTGCCTACAAAGACATTTTTGTTGCTCCAGTAAACCTGGCAAATGTCAGTCTAGTGTTAAGGTTAATTAACCCTAGAAGTAAAAAAAAAAAAAAAAAAAAGAGAAAGAAAGAAAAGTTGAAACATATATGTATCAATGAAGAATAAGAACAAAATTCAAAAACTGAGTAAAGAAGTGGGAGTAAGCAAATGCCACATTACTGAAAATTCTATTTTTACCTATATGTTGAATAGTAGTTATCGTGTTTGAAAGGTAAATACATTTACAGAAGTGAGTTACATTATTATCACCGGAACATTAAGCAGAAATTGAAAACGGATTTTCCCCCCTTAATATTCTCCAGCTGGCATGTTATGACTAAAACTTGCTGAATCCATGCCACACTGTGATGCATTTAATGGTGTACATGGGTACAACTAAACAATACATTACTTGTAGTGTCTGAAATAACCCAGCAAAGCATGGTACTCAAGTGCTGAAATACCACTGTCTGCTTCTCAAAGGTTGCTTAGTTATACCAAAGAGGCCAACCTTCTCTGAAAAGCCTTAACTGCTAATTTCTTTCTGTCACTTTTATATAGTCCAGTCATAAACGTGTACTCTTTTGTTCCTATGCCATCAGAATGGTGTTATTTAGATGTTAATGCAAGAGGCAAAGCAGTTGACACGGGAGCTTTAATCATAGGACTTGATTAGTGCTTTCAAGGTTCTTAGTGTTTTGTTTATAAACAGTATATTTGGTTCAGTCAAACGTCTCTTAATTTCTAAAAAAAGAAAAGAGGACAAAAAATACAATAAACTGAAACTAGAGCTTTAACTCTGACTTAAGCTAAACCTCTGCGGGTGTTTCCCAGGCTTTGGGTTTCTGGGTGGAATCTTTGTCGGTGCTAAATGGAAAGGTTACTGTCTGCATCCTTCAGCTATTATAAGACTGCTGGCAGGGACTGAACTCTCAGGATCCAGCAGACCATTCCCTGTCCAAAGTAACTGGATGCTGTGTTTCAGAAATGTGATAGTTGACAGGCTGACATTATGACGCTTGTAACCCAGCCTGTGTCCCAAGCTTCAAATCAGCTATCAATTCAAACAATAAGAACAGTTTCTAGACATAAAAACCTGGAGGTTGTTTTGCTTGTACATTTGCTTAGTGGAAAAACATTTTATCTTAGTAATGTGGGTTATGTTTCTAAAAATCAGGCAACTTAAACCAGCTCATTGAATTCACTTGGTTATTTTCAGCATGTTCTACTGGAATTCAGCTTTTTTTTTTCTTTTCAGATGATTTGTTCCTCTGGATATAATTATAGACCTTAACCAGTTGAAAAGACAGAACAATTCAGTTAATAAAATAGTTGCTTTTTCTGAATGAAAACTTCCAACCAATTTTCTGAACTGACAGAAATGACTATTTTGCCATTGGTCATGTTGAGCTATTGGTATGCAAACTATGTTAACTTTTGTCTGAAATAAGTCAAAATGAACCTAGGCAGTCAAGACAAATTGAGTATTTGATAAATGATTTTTTTTCAGTTTACTTTCTTAATAGCTTCACCTGTAAAATAGTCAGAAACAACTTAGTAGGAGGTAAATTATGAAAAATAATCTATTGAATTATATATTCTGTGCAAAGCACTTCTTCTCAATGCCTCATTATTACTGTTGTTATCATTGTTGGCAGGTTGAAGCTCAGGAAACTAAGATTTGAGAGAGGTTATATAATTTGCCTAAGGTCATAAAAATAGTAAGTTGGTTTATGTCCAAACTCATGTTTTCCCACTTACAATACTCTCCTCCATTTCATAAACTGTCTGCACTGTCATCAAGAATAATAATATTAAAATATAAATTTATGATTTATGAACTTTCCCATTTACATCATTTTACCTAGCTATAATAGACAAGGCTTTTAGTTTTATTTCATCCATAGACCAATAAAGTAAACAGTTGAGAATATCAAATATTGGCATATGTTAAAATTATATTCGAGGAGTTGTGTTTAAAAAGAAAAGCATGTATATTGTATTCTAATGCATGGGCTTATATATAGGAAATAGAATTTAAAAGTATAAATTTAGAATGTCTATGTAATGAGTTATCATTGAGAGTATTTCCTTCTGCTTCATAAAAAATGTAATTTTCCACAACTCTGAAGATATTCAGCAAAATATATTCACTACCAGAAAAAGAACAAAATGTTTGTGATGTGGTAAATACACCAGGAGTTTGCTAGATGGTGCTGCAACATATATTTGTAAAACTCTACTAAATGTGTCTGAATAGGAAATTTTCTTGCAATTAGAAATATTCAGACCTATATTTATATTTAAAGTTGTCTATGATATCAGATTCACTGTTAGATTTCAATCTTCATTTTTATTTAATTTACCCTATATTTAACAAATTCGTTTTTGTTATTATAGGCTATTTTAACATATCCTGGGCACAATAAGCCACTGCAGAATAGCAAAGTTCAATTTCTTATATTATGTTTCTTGCAATAAAGATTTTTTCCAGCTATACTAGTAGCACCTGAGCATAATGCAAAATAAAATGATTTAATTTTAAATGTACTAATAATTCAGTATAAACTAAAACTACTTTAGAGTCCTTACTAATCTGAATTATAAAGCTATCTCTTATTTATGGCATTTGAAAATCTTAAATACATGTGTGTTAATTAAATAGATTTAAAGCAACATAAAAAGAAGTGTTTCACTGTTTTAAAAACTTTAATTTTAAAATATCAACAATATCAGAACTATGGCTCTTAACCTTAATTGTGCATTTGTGCCGGCCAACCTACATGCTAGACAATCTTCTGCATAATTAAGTTTCAGTACTGGAGAAGTAGTGGCTACTTATAAAAAAAAGAATGCATTAATACCCTTATTTCAAAAGGCTTCAGAGAGACTGTGTCTTTCTTGCTCTTCCGTCTTCTATCTTTGAGGATACAGCAACAAGTCGCCATCTTGGAAGCAGGGAAACTGTGCCCTCCCCAGACATGAAAAGCTGATCCAGGACTTATAGCTTTCAGAACTGTGAGAAATATATTTCTATTGATTATAAATTACACAGTCTGTGGTATTTTGTTATAACATCAAAAGTGGACTAAAACACCTATGCTATGAGAAAGATAGTTTAGCTTTATTGATATTAGAAAAAGTAGATTTTAAACCAAAAAGAGTTACTAAA